>NC_000006.12:92152954-92303893 GCF_000001405.40 Homo sapiens
CCCATTCCCGTGAGTATATGTAACCACCTAACTCTGAAACAGGGCCTTTCCCCATGAGTATATGTAACTATCTAACCTTGAAATTGCTGCTGTATGGTGAGGAAGAAGGATATGGTATCCATGTTCTCCATGCAAGGGTCATTACTTTCCTATAAAATATGAAGTGTTTTTCTGCTTTGAACATTCCCATCTTTTCTTTTAACAATTTTCTTGGTAGAGTATTCTATTACACAGGGTTCTCTAGAGAAACAGAACCAAGAAGATGTTTGTATATGTGTATTGGTCAGGGTTCTTCAGAGAGACAGAACCAATAGGATATATATGTATACAAATATCTATGTATGTACATATACACACACAACATGTATACACACATACACACACACACACACACACACACACACACATATATATATATAAATTTGTTATAAGGAATAAGAGAATGGCATGTCCCAGATTCTGGAGGGTGAGTCGGCAAGCTAGAGACTGAGACTAACTCATGGTATAGTTCCAGTCTGATTGTGAAGGGCTGCAAATCAGAGAGTTGATGGTGTAGTTCTAGTCTGATTTGGAAGAGCTGAGAATCAGGAGCGGGTGGTGTAGTTCCAGTCCAGAAGCCAACAGGATTGAGACCCAGCAAGAGCTAATGTTTCAGTTTTGAGTCCAAAAGCAGGAAAAAGCCAGTGTTCCAGTTTGAAGGCTGTCAGGCAGTAAGAATTCTCTCTTACTCAGGGAAGGGTCAGCCTTTTTGTTCTATGCAGGCCTTCAACTGACTGGATGATGCCCACCCACATTATGGAAGGCAATATGATTTATTCAAAGTCCACTGATTTAAATATTAATCTAATCAAAACCCAACTTCACAGAAACATCCAGAATAGTGTGTGACCAAGTATCTGGGCACCATGGCCCAGCCAAGATGACACAGAAAATTAACCAGCGCTAATATCTTCATTACTTGGGACATTCCTGTCTGCAAGAGACAGATATACAATCCAAATTAATGTAAGAAGTGTGTGTGTGTGTGTGTGTGTGTGTAATCAATGAATAGTGTCGCCTAAGAACTCCAGGAACTTAAATGATGGCATTAGCTCTCTTTCGGGTTCTTTGTTTCTGTGTATTGACCCAGTATCTCCCACTGTATATTGGCTTCCTCTGAGTGTTAGAAAAGGAGAGCAGGACTGAAGATACATACACATTTCTATAACCCTGAAGTTAAGTGATCCTGTATGAGAAAGAGTTTAGTGGTTTTCATGCTTAGTTGTCCCATAGCATCATTCAGTTTGCTTTTTTCTTGGGAATTTCCCATGGTATTAGTCCTACCTCCCTTAGATAAAAGGTGAAGACTCACTTTCCCACCTTTTCTTAAAGCTTATCTATCAAGCACATATACCCCTATAAAAATCTTGCTTCAGGAGAAAGTGATTTGAAGGAAGAGGCCCTAGACAGAATCAATTTCCAGTAATATTGGGAGTCATACATTCTGGCTTTCTGTGGCAGATTCTGATATTTATTATACAGTGTCATGGGCACTCAGTGATTACCTGCTTAATGCCAACTATTTTCCAGGCTTTTACTAGGAAACTGAAAAGGGGGCTGCAGTGAGGTCTCTGCTAGAGTAATGCTATAGCATGGTTTGAACACTGTTCTTGGCTCTGTATCTTCCAAGTCTGACTCTCTGTCCCTAGGCGAGATACTTTAAAATATTTATTTTCTCCTTAAGAAAGTTACAGTGTTTCTATTAGAGCTCTGAATGATGCAGACAGCTTTTCTATTTCATTATCTAGCTATTAAATTTGTATTAGACTGGAATAGGTTATATGCATACCTAGTGCCAAAATAGGTAGTCAGGATAATGAATACAATGATTGGCTAGATTTTGGTCACACTCACTTGCGCCTGTGGTCAGAGAGGTTTAGTATTTTGATGGGCAGCTACACAAGAATCACATGTAGTGAAGGAGAGGCCATTCCACAGATGAGGAAGGATGCTGTTTTTAGTAGAACAGAGAGAAAAAAAATTCTTGACAAGATCGAATACCCAACATAGTGCTCTGTGACAAAAGTGACTAATTATCTATTTAAAATGTGCCCTTACCTTAAAAAATCAAGTGGAGAACTTTTGCAGAAAACATGCAGGGCTACCTGCAGGAATTGGTGCTATTCTGGATATCTCAGAGCTTGGGTATGAATTAACTGTGCTTTTCCAAGACTGTTTTATGCAAGTACAATCGTAGATAAATTAGACAATACAGATTTTGAAGCATCATATAAGGATATAAATAATTTAATAGGTAACTACAGTGTGGAGTGATTAGTGCTAAGTTAATGAAAGTATTGGCTGCTCTGGAAAAATATAGATAAAGCACACGATAGTGATTTTAAAGTCAAATAGAAGTTTTTAAAGAGGTGTCATTGTTCTAATTTTGGAGTCAGGCAAGAACTGTGTTCAGATTCTTGTTCAAAACCAGCCAGGTATTTTTAGGAGAGTTATTTATTCACTTTAAGCCTTAGTTTTATTGTTGGTAAGATGGATAAAATAGTAACTTCTTTCATAGATATCATGATTAAATGCGATAACACATGTGGAGTCCATAGCCTGGTACATGAGGGGCATTCTGTACATGTTTGCATTTGAAAAAATTATCTTTCTTTCATTTTTCTAGGTGAATGTTATCAGGTGACCTGTGAAAAGGATGTCCATAGGCTCAAAGGTAAAATTTCATCTTCCAGACACTAAATGAGTGATCTAGAGAGAAGGCTGAACTGAGTAAAGCTAAGCTAAAGATCTGAAAGTTAGCCCGAAAGCCACGTGAAATTATGGAATAACTTTAAGGAGGTAAGTGATACGATCAGTTTTGTGTTTAGCTAGATCACTTTGCTTCCATGTAGTCACTGACCAGAGAGAGACATAGTTATCAGGCTGATCCACAGGCCTGGCTAAGATACAATTTAATAATCAGCTGAATTAAGCTAGTGGAATGGGACAAGAGAGCTAACAAATATGAGAAGTATCTGTGAAGTTAAATTGGAAGAATTTAGTAATTGTATTAGACGTAATGTGAGAGAGTATTGAGGTGAGGGAATGGTCAATATCTTCTGGACTATATTCGTCCATTCTCATGCTGCTATGAAGAAATACCCAAGACCGGGTGATTTATAAAAGAAAGAGGTTTAATTGACTCATAGTTCCACGTTGCTGGGGAGACCTCAGGATACTTACAATCATCACAGAAGCAAAGGAAAAGCAGGCGTCTTCTTCAGAAGGTGGCAGGACAGTGAGTGAGTGCAAGCAGGGGAAATGCTGGATGTTTATAAAACCATCAGATCTCCTGAGACTCACTCATTACCATGAGAATAGCATGGGGAAAACCACTGCCATGATCTGGTTACCTCCACCAGGTCCTGACCTTGACATCTGGGGATTATTACAATTCAAGGTGAGCTTTGGGTGGGGACAGAGAGCCAAACCCTATCAGTCATGCATTCATGTAGAAAAATCTAGAAGACACTGCAGGTGGAAAAGGATGTTTATATACAAAGAAGAGTTGAATACATTCAGTATGGAGGTACATATATGCCCAATGGGCTTTTGATGATTCTGATACATTAGAGACACATATGATCTGGGCAAAAAGATAGGGACCCATCAGTATCTAAATGGTAATTGCTGGAAATTCATGAGGTCATTCTGGGAAGAATATGAAGAATGAAAAGAAAACAGTGCCCAGGACAGAATCATATGAAGCAACAACATTTAGGTGATAGGACAACAAGGACTCTGAAAATATGGCTGAAGAAGATAAAAAATTGAAGAAGACAGATAATTAGGAGAGTATGGTAATAGGGAAGCCAAGTCAGAAAGTGAAGTGAGCAACAGTGTCAAGTATGGCTGAGGCATTCCAATAGGTGTATATTCAAAATGAATAGAGACATACGTAGGGTGAACAAGTCTAGAGATCTAATGCACAGCATAAGGACTGTAGGTAATAAAATCGTATTGCATTTCGAATTCATGCCAAATGAGTAGATTTTAGCTACTCTTGTCACAAAACAACAACCAAAAAAACTGGGTAACAATGCAAGATGATGGATATGTTAATTTTCCCACAATAATAACCTTTTTTACTATCTACATATATTCCATTATGCTATATATACCTTAAGTAGAAACAATAAAATTTATTCCAAAAAATGAACTGAGAGGTTGATTTCTTAGAAAATGGATTCCTTAGAAAAGGAATTATAGCGTATCAAGGAGCAGAATGAAAAGTCAATGGGAGGTACAAAGGTGGAAACAGGAATTATAGAAATTTTATTTTCAAATGGTTCATCTGTGATTTGGAAGGATAGAGTAGGAGTTAAAGAGGTGAAATTGAGAGACTTTTTGTTTGTTTTTCCTTGCTTTTAACATGTGTGTTATATAGGTATAGTTAAAGCTGATTCGAGAGCTAGAAGATATGGCCATGGTGAAAATATAGGAGGAGATAGAGGGGGTAAAATGTACAGAAGGAATCCAGACAAAAGTTGAGTTGTTGAGAATTGGAGAACTGAAGGGATTAACCTCAAGAATAACGTAGTTCTTCCTCTTGTAATGGGAGAGAAAAGGAAAAGATGGATTGGATGCAGAAAATCACTATCCCTCTATAAGGAATGCTAGGGCATTTTAAAAGCCATAAAAATTATTGCTTTCAGAACTGTATGCATTTTGTGCATATAGACTCCTATGATTAAAATGTGAGTCAAGGGTAAAATTACTTTTTTAAAAAAGAAATTGCATTTTATTGACAACCTTTGATAGTACCTGTTTTTATTATGTGAAATATTGTATTTTCTATATTTCCAAAATGAATTATATTTTTGCTGCCACTGCTACTTTCAATTGATTTTAACTTGAGCCTTGAGGCATTCTAAGATAATGCAAACCACCCATCAGTTTTCAAAGATAGTATTGTATTACTTAGCAAAGTTGGCTTTTTTATGTGTATGTTGAGGAGTTGTGGAGTGAGCAAAGGGGATGGCTATTCACATATCAGTATATCCATTTCCAACAATGGACCCTGAGTATTAGCTGAACACAACAATGAGAAAGAACAATAGTTTTCTGTTAAACTTGGAAACGATATCTGAAAAGCTTATCATTGTTTAAACTTAATTGTCTTAAGTTTACTATGATAATATTGGCACCAATGTTCTGTTAATATTACATGAATTTAGCCAGAGGCTATTTGGGGAGAAAAGGATTTGATTTTCACATCGGAGTGTACCTTACTTTAAATGAGAACAGAAACTCAGATTTGAATTGAAATGACATTGACATGAATATACCCCTATCAACTTGGGGGTTATATCTGTACTCCCATACTCTTTTACAATTTGCAAAGGGGCTGTTATTGCAAATGTTATTTTTTCCAATAAAGAGACAGCTCATTAGATCTCATTACTAGTCAGCAGCTGTCGCAGAATATAGATTCCCAACTTGGAGCAATACATCTTTTCACAAATGCTTTCACTGAAAATGTGGAAAAGATCTATTCCATCGTTAACCTACAGTGACATTATACATGGCTGCGCTTACACCTTTGGCTTTTCTATGAGCATTTCATAGTTTAGTAACTTTAAGTTGAATAATTCAAGTTTCATCTAAATGTAATGCCTGCTCCTTATAAATTCTAAAGGAATATTGAAAGTTTTTTTTTTTCTCAATTCCAACTGGTAATATGTTATTTTGAGATCTGGATAAAGTAAATAAATCAACAAATATGTTTTCAGTACTACATTATTTGTGCAAGAGGTGGAGGATAGAAAAAAAAATAAAGTAAAATCTAATTTATCCTGTGCTCAAAGAGCTTACACTCTACTTGGGGAAGTAAAATATAGACAGTAAAAATCTACATGCATAGAGAATAATGTTTGAAAGCAAATGTTCAAAAAGATCATAAAATAATGCATAGTTCTTTGTTACATGCCTTGCACAGGAATAAATTCTCAGAAAAGAAATAAATAATTGTGGACATAACATGTCTTGTAAGACTTCCCAGGGTGAAAAAATAGCTTCATTTTTGCATATTTTGAGAGGTAAAGAAGTATATGCATATGTGGTACGGTGTGCCATGTGTGTTTGTGTGTGTGTTGTGGGTGACAATGGTGGGGGGGGCACACTTGTGCAGAAGCAGGCTGCCCCATATACTTTCCATATATAAAATGGGAAGGATATTCAGGTCAGAGGATTGACATAAATAACAAGATATAAGAAGACATATACAAAGTTGTGGTGATGATAGTCCATAACTGGACTGCAGAAAAGGATTCTCTTAGTGTCAGAATTAGGTATTGCAGTTGGATAGGATACGTGAGGTTACACATTACTTTAAATACCAGGCCTGACTGTGGGACTTTTACCTGTGAAGAATAGAGATTCTTGCTTACTCAAAGAAAGCACTGATTTCAGAGAAGAGTAGCTTGGAAGACAGAAATTTCAGCAATGGGTGAGGGAACAGAAAAAATACCAGTTTTGAAAATAGAAGACAATGGGTATAGGAAAATCATGATATATTTCAATGGCTAAGGGATAAGACATTTTACATAACTCCATAAAGCAAAAATATGATACAAATTTCAGATAGATAATTCCAAAGATACTTTCTAACACTCATAGGCATTTTATGTCTATAAAATATTAAGTTTGTAGTCAACACTCTTCATCAAACACTCTTCTCTTAGCTTCAAGCCATTATATGTATTACAATATTTTGTATATACAAATATAGTATTTTCTACATCTTATTCTTTTGTTACTAACACTTTAAAATCATATCCAATTATAGATTACTTACGTAATGACCTATTTTTTTTTACTCATTCAAAAATATCTATTTAATATCATTTGCAGCTGACTAATATTTAGTATTTTTATTCATTATATTCTAAGCTCTGGAATGAAAATCTATGTTTTTCCCCAAAGAATGAAGCAGTTACCTTGGTAGCTTTTTTTTTTTTAAAAAAAAGAAAGATATGTACAACCAAGAATAGAACTTATTCTGCAAAAGCTGGGTTTGGTAGACTATTTTATCACATTTCAGCAGCAAAAAGCATTATAAATTAGATAGGGTTAGCTTGGGAAGAATCCATCCAGACTTTGCTTCATTTACTCACAGAGGTGCTCTCCTCTTGAAATACAGACTTTCAAAAGAAGAAAGGAAAGGGAAGGAAAGAAGGAAGGAAGGAAGGAGAAAGGCAAGGCAAGGCAAGAAAAGGAAAGGAAAGGAAGAGGGAAGGAGAGAGGGAGGGAGAGAGGGAAAGAAGGAGGGATGGAGTGGAGGGGAGGGGAGGAGAGTGAAGGGGAGGGGACTGGAGGGGAGGGGAGGGGACTGGAGGGGAGGGGAGAGGACTGGAGGGGAGGGAAAAGCAGAAAAGTAGAGAAAAGCAGGACAAAAAAGAATAGCGTTTCTGGCTTCACCCACTACACACATCTTTAGAGTTCCATAAAAATCAGCCACCAATAGGATATACGCTGCTTTTTCAGGTGTTGATAGAAATAATTTTTTACATGTTTTGTGTGTGTGTGTGGGGGGGGGGGGGTGGGGGTAGGGGTTCGGAGCAAAGGCACACAGCATAGAGAACAGAGAAGAATTTGGTGTGTTTAAATACATTTACCTAGATGATGACTATTGATGTTTTCTTTATCATTACAATAGATTACAACTCCTAGTATGTGTTTTCTTTTCACATTTTCTTTTCTATTTCCATCACTTTTTCTTTCCTTGTATGTACTGTTTTATTCTTTTGTCCTCTGGCAATTGAAAGAAATGTATAATTCTACTAATTGTTGCTTTTGATGTAAACTTTTCAAAATTTTTTCTTAATTATCTTGCCAAGAATAAAGCAATTTCTATTGACTCCCCATATGAAATCTATGAAACTCAGTAAAATCTAGTTTTTAATAACTTCCTATATTCTACAGATATGGTATCTTTTAAACTCTGAATAATATAATTATATTAATTTTGTTATTTTATTTCCTCTTTAACATTTATTAACATATCTATTAGATGATATAGCCATATTATAATAACAAAAATAAATTTTAAACCTGGTTAAAAATATTTTCAATATTAGCCCTTTTATACCCCCTTTTTTTAAGTTTTAATTTTGGTTTATTTCTCAGTATACTATAGTATACTTTCAAATGTGGCGTGGACTGAAGATTTTAAAGTTCCAGATCTAATTTATTCATGTAGGTTCATACTCATTACAATAAACTGCTTTTTAAGATTTGCTGGGCCATTCCTTCATTAAAGCAGACAAGAAAAATATCTTTGTAGGGTAAACAATTATCTATCAAAAGGTTTCAGCATTATTTATTTTATAAATCTTAGGGAATCACTAGTACTTAATTCTACTCAGTGGAGGTGAGGATCCTAAAAGTATTTCAGCATATCTTTTGTTTTGGCTGGTTTCAATCATGAGAATTTTAAAAGCAAAACTGTGTTGATTTCATGTTCATTTAATTTTACAAACTATTGTATATTCCTAGGTATACATTTTGTCTATATGGAAGTGTCAATCATTATATAGAAATCATTATAGTCATTGAAATTTAAACGCACCAAGATATGCCTAGGTGTTGACCTCCTTTTATTAATATACATACTTTTTACTTTATGATCTTCTTCATATTTCCTTAGCTCATAATAATGTTTTTCTTTTATGTAGTGATTATATCTTATTTTCCATTGTTTCCATCTTCTCCTTCAAGAGCCATAGAATTTAATCTTGCAATAGCCTTTATCATAGCTCCATTTTCTCTGACTGGTTTACTCACATCATTGATATTCATTCGTATTCTAAAAAGCTATGTTAAGTTTGTCTTCTATATCAACTTATTCTGCAAAAGGTTGATTTGATAGACTATTCATTCTATCACATTTCAGGAGCAAAAAGCATTTTACAGTAGATAGGATGAGATTGGGAATAATCCATCTAGACTTTCTTTCAGTTACTCACAGGGCTGCTCTCCTCTTGATATACAGACTTTCCAAAGAAGAAAGAGAAAGAAAAGGAAGGAAGGAATGAGGGAGGGAGGAAGGAAAGAAGGAAGGAAGGAAGGAAGGAAGGAAGGAAGGAAGGAAGGAAGGAAGGGAGAGTGATGGAGAAAGAAAGAAAGAAGGAAAGAAAGAAAGAAAAGAAAGAAAGAAAGAAAAGCAAGAAAGAAAGAAGGAAAGAAAGAAAGGAAGGAAGGAAAGAAAGGGAAAGAAAGGAAAGGAAGAGAAAGAAAGAAAGAAAGAGAGAGAAGAAGGAAAGAAGGAAGTAAAAAGGAAAGGCAGAGACAGAAAGAGAGGAAGGAATAGATCAATTTTATCTATAATAGAGATTATATTCAATACTGTTTCCATTTGCAATTTATTATCAGTTTTAATATCAGTTTAGCTACAATCTTTTCTCATATTAGTTGATTTTCCTTTCCTTTTATACTTCTGTACTTGAATTCTTTATTCTCCAACAGTCTATGTTTCCTTGCATTTTGTCGAAAGCACAAAGTAGGTACTCTGATACATATTGTGTTCACTAGTAAAGCATTTTCAAAACTAAAAACACACTTACCCCTGAAAATGACTTCTGCTTTCTATACAGCAAATATTTCTTTAACAGTTGGCAAGCTTCTTTCTTTTCAGTTAACTATTTTTTTTGTTTGTTTGTTTGCTTTTTAATGAGTAGAGTTCTCTTTGACCTGGTATTTATCCAAAAAGTGCTAACATTTTGGGATCCTTGCGTCTGGAATATTGTTAAAATTTTACTCATCAATGGTAATCATGAAGACTTGCGACATACTTCACATTTCCTTTTATGTGATTCAGCCAGTCTCCTCTACTCAACTTCCACAGTATTTAGCTGCATTCTCAATAAGAACACTATTTTCCAGTCTTTATTAGTTTTCTTCAATGTGATCATATCTCCTGCATGTCTAGAAGACAGTCCTAAACTTTTTAGCATGTGAATGGCACTCTGTCTCCATTTCTAATGCTGAGGCAAGATCAGACCTTGGGGAAATTAGAAAAAAAATAACTGAAGCTGTCATCTTACCCAGGTATCTTTCCCATTTTGTTTACCCTAGTTTTGTTTCTAAAATTTTCATTCGGTTACTATACTTTTCCAAGATGACAAATATGTGTGTGTAATATATCACAGGAATCGAATCTGTGAACATTAAGATTTTTCAGTGGATAGTAATGTCTATTATGTTTTCTACCATTGGATCAGTTCTAGAATAAAATAATTCAAAATATAAACTTTAGTCTTATCATTATCATTATAATTTTTTACATTACTTAATTATTAGGTTGGTGCAAAAGTAATTGAAAATTGTTGGATGCAGTTTTAATGGCAAAAACCGCAATTACTTTTGCTCTAGAATTTAATGAGTTTCCACTAGTCAGTTTTTGTTTTTGTTGCAATTGCTTTTGAGGAATTAGTCATAATATTTTTCCCCACAGCTAATATCCAGTGTGGTTTTTCCTAGGTTTACATCTAGGATTCTTACAGTTTGAGGTCTTACACTTAAATCTTTAATCCATCTTGAATTAATTTGTTTATATGGTAATATATAGAAATTAACTAATAAGAAAAACTACAGCAGTAGTTTTTGCACTTTAAAAATGTTCTCAGAAAATTGAGTGGACTGAAGATTTTCAAGTTCCACATCTAATTTATTCAAGTACGTTCATAGTCATTGTAATAAACTGTTTTTTAATATTTGCTAGGCCTTTGCTTCATTAAAGCAGACAAGAAAAATGTCTTTGTAGGGTAAACAACTATCTATCAAAGGGTTTCAGTATTATATATTTTATAAATCTTAGGGAACCACTAGTACTTAATTCTACTCAATGGAGATGAGGATCCTAAAAGTCTTTCAACATATCTTTTGTTTTGGCTGGTTTCAATCCTGAGAATTTCAAAAGCAAAGCTGTGTTGATATCATGTTGGTATAATTTTATAAAATATTGTACATTCCTAGGTATACATTTTTTCTATATGGAAATATCACTCAGTATACAAAAATTCTTATATTCATTGAAATTTAAAATGGAAAATATAATAAAGATGAATATTAAAATACTACTATATTAAATTTTTTTCACAACAGTTGCTTTTATTTATTTTTCATGATGAGTATTTCATTTCTTTTCATGAATTTATTTTTTTAACTTTTATTTAAGACTCGGAGGTACATATGAGGTTTGTTACCTGGGTACATTTTGTTATGCTGAGTTTTGGTGTACAAATGATCCTGTCACCCAGGAACTGAGCATAGTACCAAATAGGTAGTTTTTCAACTCTTGCCCCAACTCTCCCTCTCTAATGATTAGCAACATGGGACATATTTTCATATACTTTTTGGCCACTTGTATGCCTTGAGAAGTGTCTGTTCATGTCTTTTGTCCACTTTTTTTTTTTTTTTTTTTTTTTTGAGACAGAGTCTCGCTCTGTCGCCCAGGCTGGAGTGCAGTGGCGATATCTTGGCTCACTGCAAGCTCTGCCTCCCGGGTCCATGCCATTCTCCTGCCTCAGCCTCATAAGTACGTGGGACTACAGGCACCCACCACTTCACACGGCTAATTTTTTGTATTTTTAGTAGAGACCGAGTTTCATCGTGTTAGCCAGGATGGTCTCGATCTCCTGACCTCGTGATCCGCCCACCTCAGCTTCCCAGAGTGCTGGGATTCCACGCGTGAGCCACTGCGCCTGGCCCTTTTGCCCACTTTTTAATGGGGTTGTTTTTTTGCTTGTTGATTTGTTTAAGTTCCTTATGAACTCCAGATATTAGACCACTGTTGGATGCACAGTTTGCAAATATTTACTCCCATCTGTAAGTTGCCTATTTATTCTCTTTGTAGTTTCTTTTGCTTTGCAGAAGCTCTTTAGTTTAATTGGGTCCCAATTGTCAATTTTTGTTTTTGTTGCAATTGCTTTTGAGGAATTAGTCAAAATTTTTCCCACTGCTAATGTCTTCAGTGGTTTTCCCTAGGTTTTCCTCTAGGATTCTTATAGTTTGAGGTCTTACATTTAAATCTTTAATCCATCTTGAGTTAATTTCCATATAAGGTAAAAGTTAGGGATCCAGTTTCATTCTTTTACATAGGGCCAGTCAGTTATACCAGCACCATTGATTGACTAGGAATTCCTTTCCCATTGCTTGTTTTTATTGACTTTGTTGAAGATAAGATGACTGTAGGTGTGTGGCTTTATTTCTGTGTTCTCTATTCTGTTTCATTGGTCTATGTTTCTTTCTTTGTACTAGTACCATGATGTTTTGATTACTGTAGCTTTATAGTATAGTTTGAAGTCAGGTAATGTAATGCCTCTGGTGGTCTTCTTTGTTTTTTATGATTGTTCAGGCTCTTTTTTGGTTTCATATAAATTTTGGAAGATTTTCTAGTTTTATTAATATTACATTGGTAGTTTGATAGGAATAGAGTTAAATGTGTAGATTGCTTTTGGCAGTATGGTTATTTTAACTATATCAATTCTTCCAATCTATAAGCATAGAATGTTATTTTATTTGCTTGTGTCATCTATGATTTCTTTAAGCAGTGTTTTATAGTTCTTGTAGGTATCTTTTACCTGCATGTGTAGATATATTTTTACATATTTTAGTTTTTTTGTGGCTATTGTAAATGGGATTGCATTCTTGATTTGACTCTCAGCTTGAATATTATTGGTGAATAAAAATGTTACTGATTTTTGAACATTGTTTCTGTATGCTGAAACTTTACTGAAATATTTTTATTAGGTCCAGGGGACTTTTGGCAGTCTTTAGGGCTTACTGAGAATATAATCACATTATCAAAGAAGAGAGATAGTTTGTGTTTTTCTATTCCTATTTAAATTCCATTTTTTCTTTCTCTTACCTGATTCCTCTGGCTAGCACTTCCAGTATTGTGTTGAATAGAAGTGATGAGTGGGAAGTATTTAGAATATCTTCAATTATAGATAATGATTTAGATTATTAGATTCAAGTGTAGACAATAATTAAGAAGTAATGATTGAAACTAGCATTTTAAAAGTTGCCATTGGATTAGCAAAGAAAAGAGATTAATATATGTTTGTCCATTGGACTTCTCTCGTAGCTTTGAGAAAGGTTCATTAGCTTAGTTGATGATACTGTTCTTTTCTACTGGTATCATCCATAAAGAAGGAGATCAATTAGATAATAAGTGCTCTGTTGACAGTGTGTTATAATTTTCTTTGAGTTTAAACACATTATTTCTAAAATACTATTCTAGTTTACTATATTATCCATGTTGTTATAATTAGAGCACCCTGAACTTTTTATATCTTTACTTGAAACAAAATTGTTCATTTATTTTCATTTGAAGAACTGTTTTGGGTTTTGGCCAATGAATAATGTATGTTTTATTCCTAAGGCAAAGTTATTCACCTGTTGGAAATCACATAAATGCCAACCACTTCTTTTCACAGCCTGATTGGAAATTATTTAATGACTTTTTAGTAGTGTTTAGCAAAGCTGAGAAAATCGTATCTAATCTGTTATTCCCTGTTGTTTCTGGGAATTCTGTTTAACAGCAAAACACTACTAATACAATAAACGTCATGTTTAAATATTCCTGATTTCTACTATTTGACTCATGCCAAGCTATAAAACTAGTTTAAAGGCGATGGCTATGGTTTTTGTCTGATCTAGTCTTGTCCTGCCTTGCCTTGCCCTTCCTTTTCTCAAATAACTGGGCATATTAGCATTCAGTTCATGAACAGTTCTGTTGATGAGAGTTAAGAAGACAATTTATAGAGCCAAATATGTCTTAATATCATCTCTATGTCTACATTCAGAGATAACCTTTAACTGTACTATCCATTTGACCAGAAGTTTCTTTTCAGCTGCTCCATCATTGTAATATTTACTTTAGTGAAGCCATGGATTCTAAAAAGTTGTTCCAAGTTGTATTAAGTATACAACTGATCAACTGATAGATGACAAAGCACTACAGCCTTTATATTTGCAATGTAACTACTGCTTTCCCAAACAAATATTTTCAGCTTTCACTTCAAAAATCAGTTTCCTTTCTCCCAAGGCATTTGAAATGTAGGATTGAAAGAAAGTTATATAGATCTATAGCTGAACCATATTTGAGATGTTTTGAACTCTAATTCTTTTCAGCATTTTTTAAATCAGAATGTCCGTCTAGTCCAGTTTTATTCATTATTAAACACATTCCACTGACTGTTAATAACAATCAATTAAGAATCCCTTGGTGTCCTGTGGTCCACTTCCTAATCAAGAGCAGCCAAAATAATGTTGGCCATGAGCTCTGCCAAATAGACAATTAGCCACTGATAATTTGTTTCAGTTAAAACTTCTACTTACGATAAATGATCAGTTCCAACAACACATAGTATCATGTTATTTGGATGCTTTGGTACCTGTGCTCATGCAGATTAATTATTTTACTTCAACTGTTTTCATTCTTTTACAGATATTGACTAAATTTCAAGGATAAACAATAAGAAATATTACAATAAATAATAGCCAAAATACTTAAAGTATGGAATCCTTGGCAGTGTAAGTACATATTAAGAGATGATTTATAGGAGAAAACTAGTAAAAACCTAAAATGGTCATTTTATCATTTAACACAAACAAAAACTATTAAAAAAAATTCTGCTGCCAGATTATCTTCAAGAGAGGCTCTCTCATGTCAGCAGAAGGCAAACATAGAATAAATTGCAAGAATTCAGGCTGCCAGCTTAAAAAAAAAAAAAAGAGCCAGGTGAAAAAACCATTTACCCATGAGCTAGGAAGGATCCCAAGTCTATTGACGCAGTATTTTTTTTTTAATACAGTGTGACATGCTTCCTCATAATATTTGAATTGTGATTTAGTATGACCATCTCCCTCATTAGACTGTGGACATGTAAAGGGCAGGGACTCCGCAGTGTGTATTATAGCTTTCATTGTTTAAAGTTAGAGTGATATGCAATTGATGTCCTAAAATGCAGAGGACCTTGTTTCCCCCATTCTACATCTACAAATAGAATTTGAGAAGAAGTGGTGAAGCAAGTCCATGTTGTATTCCTTGGGGCTCACTTTCTGTGGTATCTGATTCACTTTCTTCAGTGATTTTTCTTGAGAAAATGTGTATTTTATTTTATCTCAAGATATAAAATAATTTAACAACTATGGCTGGTATTGTTATAAATATATAGTCACTAATTTACATTTTAAATTTCATTTGTAAATATATAGTTGCTCATTTCTTATAGGCAAAATGATGCATGTTACTGATTTGTTTAAAAGCATTCTATTTAAAATGTAATACAATACAAATATATTTAATCTATATTTACATATACCATTTTAAAATCTGTCTTTACACGATTCCCTCTTTTAAAAATATTTTGAGTGAAAAATATCATTTGAAATAAGGCATCAACCACCTTAGTAAATCATTAACTAGAACCTTTAAGCCAACGGCTTTCCAAACTGTTGCCACCTCTAAGATCTTCCCTTTGTACAGTCTATAAATATTAATATTTCACACCTTGAATTCCTTATGGCTACTTCAATCTCAACATCTGAATTTTATCATTTCCTCAACAAATATACTTTTCATTTCACAGTTCTGTCAATAGCATTATTATTCTTTTAGACATCTAAAGGCTCAAATTTTGAAATTTCTTCAATCTTGTTAATTACATGTCCGTGCAGTTGGCAAAGTCTTCCTTTGCTTTGCATTCACTCTACAATTTATTTATCCTTGAAGAACAATCAAATTGCATCTACTCTGTCATATTTTTTTCTTAGTTATAACCTACTTGTTTTGGTTTTCTATTGCAATTTTTTTAAATTCTAAGGAATTTACCAAAAAAAAAAAAAAAAAAAAAAAGCTTAGAAGTCATTTTGGGTTTACGTACTGAAAGATGTATGAAGAAAAATAATTTAAAAATTGTTTGGGGGTTGTATTAATAGTTTACTTGGAGAAGAAAAGATATTCTACATTGTAAAAATATATATTTAATTTAACACAGTTTTTAAAACATTTTTGGAAATATAATTGTCTAGAATATATATTTCTCTTTTAACTTTAAGTACTTGTGCTTTCAAGAATGTACAATACTTTTACAATTTTTAAAAATTAGCACAGTTCTTAGTGGTTCTTGACTTGATTTTCCAAAACAGTCTTCCTTGAGAAAGTTTGGATTTCTTTCTTTCTCTCTCTATAAAGATTAATATGCTTTTAATGATTGCAGCCTATATGATTACAAATAAATAATTTAAAATTTGGGGTTTGAATTTGATTAATAATTATTAAATCTTAATTAACTTTTATCAGTTTATGAACATTGGGCATTTATATTCCTTCTTCCTGCTGAAAATAAGAATTAAATAATTTATAGCTGTCATTCCAAGAGTGAAAAAATTCTGAGAATAAAAGCTGATGTTATTAAAACTAGAACAACCTAAATCTAAAGCTCAAAGATGATTATTAAGAACATTCATTTATCAAATGTTATGATATACAAATTCTTATGTGGAAACGAAACTAGTTTAGGATATCATTAAACCCTTTAAAAATGTTTTTGTCATGTCATGGGCCTCCCAGAGCCATCCAACTTGTATACTAATTATTTTTTCTTGGCTACATGCTGTTTTAATTACATTCATTATTTCTGTCATTCTGCAAAATCTTATGCATGGAAGTGTTGGTGGCCTGGTGCATAACCATTGCTTTTTCCCTGCTGTGCTAATGGCTTAAGTCCAAGCTGAGGTGCAAATGAAATGAGTTTAGAAGGCTAAATCTGGCCCCCAGTTAATTTGCTTCACAAACCTGCTACCTACTTTTTTTTGTTCATAAGCTGGCTCAGTTACAAATCTATGTTCATAAAGAACCCCAAAGTTAGACTGAAATTTGTTAACTTTTATCCATACTGAGTATCAGTGATGCTGTTAGCAGGAAGTCCAACTAGAAGAAGAAGAAAGAAAGAAAAATTCAAGTATATTATGATTCTTATTAGAAATGTAATTTTAGCAAACAGAAATAAAAGTTTAGGAGGAAAAATTCAGGAAAATTCAATATAGAAAAATTATGTCGGGGGCATTTTTGACAACTTTTCCTATGAAGAATTTTCAGTCATATTTGGCTAAAAGTATTAATCTTTCCACTTTTCCACTTGATTTTAAACAAAAAGAAAGATATTTTCCATTGACATCAATTACTTTCCTCTGTTCCTTGTACAATTCTATCCTTGGTGTGCACCATGATCCCTTCTTTTCTGTTCTATTTTCTAAATGGAATAGAAACATGCTCTGAAATTCCCCCAAACACAAATGGCCTATAATCACAACTTATCTCTGTGATAGAAAACATTAACAGTCATTACATTTAACAAATAAACATTTTTAAATGAATGATTTGCAAAGGTGTTCATCTATATATTTGTATCATTTACAGACTCTGTGTAGAAAGTTATAACATCTATTAAATTTTCAAATGTTAGCCTTTTGGGGATTAGAAAATAATTGGCATATACAGAAGATATTCTCGTCCTGTGTCAAGTGATTAGAAACACAAAAAGTAATTCTTTGTGTGTCTCTAAGGTGTGTATTATTCAATCCATAATGTTTGATGGCTTTGTTTTTTGTTTCATTTGCTTTGCAAAGACAGACTTCAGTGCACGTTATTTATTATCACCAAAGAAAGATGCAAATTATGACCTCTGCTCTCTAGAAATTGACTTTCAAAGGTGCAAAACAGATAATCATACACATATAAATCATACAAGATTGTTGCTTTTATATTACGGTTATGTTATTTTTTGTTCATTGCTATTTATTGAAAACAGCAATTTAATGTATAAGAATAACAAAATAAAACAAAATTGGAAACACTTTTGAGAATAGCAAAACGGGTTCTAAGAAACTATTTACACTTCAGATATTGTTAATTGGCCTAATGAAATGGGCAGTAAAATTTTAAAGAAAATGATAAATAACAATTAGACAAAACAAAGAAAATACTTAGAACAGTTTTCAGAATTCTGTTGGAATGACAAAGGAGCATATATGTGTTTTTAGAAATTCAGGTAAGTATCCTCTCCTGGCAAAGTTGTCCGTTGCACCTACCTTTGTGGGCTTCCATATGCAAGACTGGAATGACTACAGCATTAAGGGCACACAGCCAGCAGACAAGATTAAACCCACTATGCAGCCTTAGAGTTAACACTATAATATTTTCCTAGGTATGATGAATCAAATATCATAGCGTGCTTTTTAAAATCTCCATGCTTGTTCAATAAAGCTGAATTCCTTAAGGATATCAATGAAAATAAATAATAAAGAATATGACATTTAAATTCTCCAGAATTTTGTTTTACGCTGTATATAAATATCTACAAATACTTGTGTTTCCATTTTACTATCTTTAATTGATATAATTTATTGTTTAATTTAACCCTAATTTTCTCTCAGGCTATGGCATTTAACTTATCTGAATTGTCATCAAGTGGGCTTCTTTCATGAATCGGTACACTTGGGTATATCCAGCAAACTTGGTCTTAAAAGTTCTTTCTATAGGCTTTCACTCAACCTTTGATCTTTATCTAGTAAAAGAGACCTTCAACTGTGTATTTACCATCTCTTTAGCAAAAGATCACATATGTCCTTTGAATTTTTCTGTTTTTCTCTAACTTATCCTGCCTCAGTGCATAGAGAAAAGAAAAAAAAAAAGAACAAAGAACAGAAAATCATATTGTAATGTGGAATTGCTATTGTTTGAAAACCTGGTGGTTCTCTTCTCAATGGATGTTTCTCAAGAAGTGATCTAAATTTTTTCCTGAGTTTTATTTTAGATGCAATCTATCAGAACTCCCTTTTTTTGTCTTCTTTCTTTCTCTACCTATAGAAACCTTATGGCTTTCTCTACTTGTAGTCGGTCCCTGTATAAGTCACAGAAGGTCACCGATAGTTTCCAGTGGAGCCTCTGACTCAGAATATTATTTATTATAAAGATTTAAAGTTATGAAAATCTCTCCTTAAAACAGATTATAACTTTTAAAATACATCTCCACTAGATATTAAACACTTTTATAATAGAAATATAATGTCCTGAATTTTCAAAGCCATTTTTTTCTTTTTGATAACAACTTGATTCATGAATGCAATTAGTCACCAAAAAAATACGAATTTAAAAACCTCTGTACACACATTTTTTCTATGTGGGTTCCTCAGAATAGATTGTCATGTTTTATTACAACACTTTCATTTCCCATGTACATTCATGTCTATTATCTAATTTTATCTAAAGCACTTCTGATAGGTAGGTAGAGAAAGGTCATTTAATCCGCATTTTATAAATGAAGATAGGAGAGTACAGAAAAGCTAAATGACTTGCCCAAGGCCATATTCATCTCTGCAGTAACTCTGTACTAGAATGACTTTGGAAAAAACAGGCACCAGAGCAGACAATGGCTAATCTAGTCTCCCAGCAGGGGGATGGGCAGCTGAGACTGACAGCAGTTCTAGAAATAAGCTAAAACTAAATATTTCATAGAAAACCAACCTTGTAAGTATCATAATTTAATAAAGCTGACTCGAGCAAAGAAGTGCCTCTCTAAGTTCTGTCATTTGCAAATAAATGTCTTCACAAAAAAACAACAAAAGTCAGTGGTTATAATATGGATAGAAACAGCACAAAGGGATGGCTCACAATGCCAAAACTCTTTGAAAATCTCAAACACATGAAACAGCATAATTATACTCTGGATATATGTTATTAAAGCAATGTAAGACTTTTTTAGGACATAATTTTAACTAATCAGAATTCATTTTCTACTGCCAGTAAATCAAATATTTGAAGTAGAAGATTTGCCTTTTAGTATTATATCTGTATTTTATTGTAAATACAGTACACAAAACAGCACCGATCTGTATTTTTAGTATTTTATCTATATGCTTTAGTTCAAAAGCAAATCGTGTAACAATGTTGTTGTAGGTAAGAGATGCCAACTCTTGTACTGTCTTGAACTGTTGTAGGTAAGGTAGATGCCAACTTATTATGTGTATCAAGAAGCTGGGGAGGAATAGTTTCAACCTTGGGTAAGGAATATACACAGAGGTGATACCATTGGCTGCTCTCACAAAATGAAGTTGAGAAAACAAAGCCTCAGTCAACATGGAAAAAGAAGTCAGTAGTTACGTAATGTTTAAAAATAGAATGTTGTTAAATTCTTGTTTACCTTGAAAAAGCATCAAGCATGAATCAAATTGTATATGCCTTTTTATATAGAAAAACAAGGAGAATATGTGATAGAGGAAGAATAAAATTCTTCATTTTTTTATGACTTCAGAAGCCTCCATTTTCTTTTTTGTTTCTCCTTCCCTCCTCCAAAGCTGTAAGGGAACTTTAGAAGTAACCAGATTCGAACAAGTTCAGGTGGAAAAGAATCTTGAAACTCACAAGTTTCCACTAATTGCTGACCACTCTGAATTTATTTATATAGCTAAGCTAAATAAGAAGCCTGGAATATTTAAGTGTATTTACTCATCACATATTTTGGTGCTTAATTTTGCCTAATGCATGTCATGTGCCATTAGATGTTATAGACACTAATCCTACAAAGCTGAACATGGCCCTTACTCTCATGGAGCTTACATATCTTTTTGGATGAAAAGAATAAAGAAACCAATAATTACGTAAAAATCATATGTTAAAATTGGGATAAGCCTATAAAGAAAAAGCATGAGTATTAGTAAAACATAGGACCTGAAAACTAGTCTTGAGTGAAGAGTCACAAGTTATAGCAGGCAAAGGGAGAAGTGTGGGGAAGGGCAGATGAGATCACAAAAACCTTTCTGTAAAGAAAAGAAAAAAAAACAAGTATGTAGGCCTTGAGTTTTAAGGAGCCTGTGTGGTTGGAACATTGGAAGAATCTTAGAAAATAAATTCAGAAAGGGTTATAAGCTGGGAAGTGGTAGAGCCCAATACCCATGTTTACAGGTGACTCTGATATTCTTGTAACAATGAGGGCATAAGTACAGTGGAGACTCTAGACTAGTTCTTCCTGCAGTAGTTTACAAGAGAAATGATGGCTTTTTCAGCGGTGGGAAGGGGAAGGGGCAGTCAAGGCAGAATGAAAGAAATTGATTTGAAATACATATTGTGTATCGTTTGACAGGACTGACCTCATGAGAAAAGGCATTTATTTTTTTTTCCTGGAATAAAAGCAAAATGACTAAAGGGAAAAAAATGTAGGAATTTTAATTCAGCAAAGTTAGTAAAAGATTAGCAAGGCTTTGTACAAATAAAAAATTTTGAAGTACTTACTTTATATATTCTGCATAGGAAATAACTTTTTTAAGAAATGATACATAGCGTACTCAAAATTTTTGTTCATGAGCATTCTTACCTATGTTCGTTTCTATACTAATTTTTTGGGCACTGCAGGCAAATACTTATGCTGAGGCAGAAGGGAAAATGACATTTATGTCTCTTTTGAAAAAATAATATTGATCAGCAAAATTTGGAGCACTGTATCCTAAAAAGAAAAATTAGTCATATAAAATCTTAGTACTACTTCTTTCTAGTACAGAGGGTGCCTCTGTTACCACTGGGGAATGCATCCAAGTCATGCAGCACCAAAGTATGTCAGTAACGGTGACTCCATACAGGTCTGCAGCAACCTCAGTTCTTGCCTCCTCAGAAGAAAGACTTTGACTGAGAGGCATAAGACACAGTGAGACACTGATGCAAGTTTTAGAGCAGGAGTGAAAATTTATTAAAAAGCTTTAGAGAAGGAATAAAAGGAAATAAAGCACACTTGGAAGAGGGCCAAGCAGGCAACTTACGAGATCAAGTGTATGGTTTGACCTTCGACTTGGAGTTTTATACATTGGCACTCAGCACGCACAGGGGCCTGCCAGCACTTGGGAGGGGCCCGATGAGCAGTGTGTTTACTGAAGTTGTGTGCATGCTCACTTGAGGCATTTTTCCCTTAACAATGGAGTGCTCATATACCAGTTAAACTCTACCATATTGCCTCTTAGTGAACATACTGGAGTCCTCTTACCCAGCTCCTGTGATCCTGTTGGGAAGCTGCCGATCACAAGTTTAAGGATTTTTTCTGTCTACTGGGAGACCACCTTACAGTGCCAGCTGTAATCAGTTATTATGTTAGAGTGACAGCTTAACAACTGCCTGACCATCACCTGTTGGTCACCTGATATTCCTGGTGGTGGTGGGGGGGGCCCCTCTCCTGCACTGATCATGTCTGACTGATTGCCTACTGTAACACCTCCTCTCTCTACAAGGTGCCAGGCATCTTTCCTGAACTTTATGACTCTCTCCAGTGCAATAGGCAACCTTCTTCTCACCTCTTTTCCTCTCTCCCATTGCATCAGGGCTCAGTGTGCAAGCACTGCACAACAGAGACTAACAGCACCATGTCACATGAATGGCATTAAAGCAAAATTGAGCAGATAATATATCCAATAAAGCAAGCTTCTTACATGACAGTTTCAGCAAACACAGAAGAGAAGTTGTGCAGAAATGGGGTTCTATTGGGATTTTCCAAATGTCAGCAATCTCTTTATGTCCCTTAGGCTAATGGTCAGAACTGATAACATGCAAGTCTACATCAACCATCCATTCAGACTAGTAACTGAGAGCAGTAGAAGTTCAAATTTGTCAAGTGCTTTGTGTCTGTGACAATTTGAAGTGCCTTATATGTATTACTTCCTCATGGCAAAGCTATGAAAGTTATAGTTATTATTTTCATCTGATAGATGAGGAAACTGAAGTAAAGGACAATTAAGTGAACTTTTGCAGTCACAGAGGTAGTCTGTGACAGACCAAGACTTTGAATCCAGGTGGTCTGGCCTCAGCCCACCACACTTCACACTGGCATCAGGAAATGCATCTCTGAGGAAGGCTCAAAGGATGTCCCAGGGGAAAAAAAAAAAAGGAAGAAAGATGAAAGAAAGAAAGAAAGAAAGAGAAAGAGGGAAGAAAGAAAGAAAAGAAATATGACGTGGGAAGAAAAAGAGTAGATTTTAAATAGTACTTGGTAGTGGAGTGGGAGAGGAAGGAATGAAAGCATGTAACTCATGAGTAAGTGTCCAAAGATGAAAACACAAAGAGCTTATTGGGAACTAAAAGGTTAGAGGGTAGAGATTTAAAAAGGTATAAGAAAAGAAATAATACACATTTTAAAATATTAAAACCATAAAGAGAAGAGTAAACACAACACATTAAATCAGTGCTGAGGAGGGCTTTGAAAGCCTCTTTCAGCACATAAAGAGGAGAAACAAATGACAATTTTCAGCGAAAAGATGACAGCTTTGGAAAAGAGGAAATTGGAAACTCAATTTAGAAACTGAGTTTCAATATTCTAATAATTTTTATTATTGAGATAATAGAATAAGTGGCATGGCACAGAAACAATATTCAGAGATACAGCAGAAGAAAGGTTTGCTGACCTGAAAAGAATCTCATATGTAGATTGCAAGGACTCATCATTCATAAGGCAAACACTGTAAATAAAGCAACATAGATATCTATATCTATGTATATTATGTATGCATATCATATGTCATATAAATGACATATATAAATATATATTAACAGTTTTAAACTTTCAGGAAATAAAGAATCTCATAACCACTCAATCAAGAAGAAAAGGAGCAGATGAGTATTCGTTGAAGAAAAATCAAATTGTAAAAATGAATTTAAATGTTCTGTAGAGCTACATTTTAAAGAACTAGTCTAGAAACCTGAACAGTTGAGCATTTATCCAAGAAACATGTCATCAGAGAAATGTGTCTGGCTTTTTCCAAAGAGTATCAGAGAGAAAGTGTATGACACCTCATAATTCTGGGCAGAAAAAATACATTATTTGGGTCTGTGTGAGACGATTTTTTGAGCCAAAATTCTAGTTGGATTATCCTCTTGCTTATGGGACATGCACTTCAGGCCAAATTCTGACAGTCAATACTTACAGAAAGTTCCCATCAGAGATAAAAAATGTGCTTTTTATTTGTATCTAAAACAGAATTTGGTAGAACTATTTTGTGAATAAGTTTGTGAATATCAGATATTACAAATATAGAGAGAAAGTAAAGCGATGCACTCACAAAACATGAAGTTGCCTGTTTTGAACTGTACACCAGACAAACCTAGTTCCCATTCTATTAAAATCCCTAAGACCTAATTGCTTACTAAATAGAATGTTTACAAATGCTTACAAATGCTTACCATATAAGGGCTTAGAGAACACACTCTGAAAAAATGTTAATTGAATCAATGTGTGTTTAAATGTCTGCAGAAAACCAGAAAAGGCAATAAAGCCATACATATTCTGCTTTATCTTCTTGGGCTGCAAATTTGATTCCATTGTTTACTTTCATATTTTTATCCCATTTCAAACTTGGGTGGGCATTCTTTTGGTGTTTCTAGTTGTTCCTACTCTGCTCTTTATAAATTCTCCATTTTGCATATTTTTCTGGCTTCCACTATTACTATTATAGACACACACACACACACACAAATACATACACTCACTCACTCCCTCAGATCTAAATACCCATTGGAGATTTCCATTTGAGTCTTCTATCATCAAAGTAATCTCTACATTGTCACAACAGAGTTTGTTATCTTATTTCTCCTATCTCCCCCCTCCTCATAATCAACTAACTACAACACATATACCATTAGAAGCATATCTACGTTTTTTAAAATGACTATGCTTCTTAGAAATAATTTGGAACACTTTCCTATTCTTCTTTCCTATAAGAGATCAAGTTAAACAAACTCTTGACTTAACTTGATGTTTCCTTCTCCCTGTTTCCATTGCCTCCATTGTATACCAAGCCACCATGAATTCCCTTTGACTATAATGATTTCACTGCATTCACTCTACCATTCCAGAGAATCTCAAAAGAACCAACTTATTCTCCAAAGCACTACGTTCATTTTCCTGAATGTGGAGCCAAGTGGCATCCTTCTCATGCACTGGGTCAAAATCTCCCACCTGGCCTTCCTCTGCTGGCCCCGTTTAGGTACCTATATAATACAAATTTTTCTTGACAAGCAGTTTCTTTATTGTTCCCTGAGTCCTTGTGACATTTTTCTATTAAGAGGGTTCTATGAGATGACAGGACTAGCTGTTTAGCAATGAACTTGTCACATAGGATACATTTAATTAAGCTAGCTTTTATTTTTCCTCAGAGTTAGTGATAAGAAGACTTTAACTGTTAGGCTTTTCTTCCCAGCCAATTTGTTGCCTGAGGTCACGTCTTATATTTAACCACCACAGTACCTTACTGAGCACATAATAGGCATTTATTTATTTTCAATTTCATACCTTTATTTAGGGATCTAATTAAGCAGGATTTAAATGTGATTAATTTATTGATCCTCTAGAGTCTACAATTTCAGACCAAAGAGAGGGAAATTCCAATTTCTCAAAGAAATAAAGTATTTGTTTTATATAGGAGATAGGATTACTTTATAAATATATATACAAACATACATACACGTATATATATATACACACATACCACATACATACATATATACATAATATAATATTTATTAAATATTAATGTTTAGTTATACAATTTCATGAAAAATTCATTTATTTATTCTCTTTTTATGACCATTTTCTCTTGTTTCAAAAAATGAATACATCTTACCCAAAAATTCAATACACATTTTCACTAAAATACTGTAAAAAATGGGATTGATCTTCTCTAGTGATTATATATCATGTTCTTGTTTAGACTAGAATATTATGATTTATAACTGAATTCAAAGGAATGGGTTACAAATACACAGTACATAATGAGAAAGAATATAAGCAGACATCATAAAGCTCTAACCCTTAGAAGACTAATGACTGTCCAAGGCAGTTCAGAGTAGATAAATGTAATTGTACAATTACACTGATGGACCTTTAAAGCATAGTTCTTTGTAGACCATCAACATTGAGAATGAAAGAAAAACATAGCAAAAATATTGCATCAATAATGAATGATGAAAACCAAAAGACACCAGAAAGTTGCATTCACAGTATCATTAGTATGCAAGCCAGCTTCCTAAACTAAGCAATGGAATAAAATAGGAAACATAGGCAAAGTCTTTGTGAGAACCACAAAATACAAATGATTTTTTGTGTTTGTTTTATTTGAGATATGTAAGTAATTTTATTTAAATGATTAAAATTATGAAATAAGGTCATCAGCAAGTTATAAGCAATATAAATGCATATGGTATTTTCTCAGGCTATTTTTTTCATCATTTTCTATACAGGTATCATATTCCCCATTATTAAATAAAACAGCAGAAAAAATGAACAGATTTATAAACATATATATTTCAGTTTAAGAAAGTGGATTATGCTATAACTGAGGAAAAATAGTAAACAAATAGCCTAGCAATAATACCCACCTAGCAAGATCACTTTGAAGATAAAAAGAATAAGCATGTAAATCACTTAGCACAGTATCTAGCACATGGGCTCAATGAATAATATCACATTATTAGTAGTAGTATTTTCATGAATTTATAATAAGAAAGAGTAAAAAATACAGTTAAAGTCTTTCTTTTTAAAATAACTACTATGGTTTTGATTATAGAAACAATCATATTTTCAAAATGCAAATGTGATTCACTGTAGATTTAGGTTGATAACTGAATAGAGGGTCCATACCATTCTAAGATTTACATAAACATTAGAGGAAAATTTGATACTATGATGCTTTACAAAAGGAAGAGAACTTTTCAGCTAAGTATGGCAGGATCTGATCTCTCTTAGGCAATTATTCCATACAAGATTTCATCCTAATGCCCTAAGGATGTCTTTCAGGCTTCCAATTATAATATTTTTCAGAAAACCCAACTTAGAAAATGGAAGAACAAATCCTCTAGAATTTCCATATAGGAGAACAATCCACAGCTACTCAGCCCTTCCGCAAGAACATACAAGAAACACCTTTTATACTTCGTGAAATGAATATGTGAAATGGTAAAGGTTAATGGGTCAAAAGACTTTTGAAGAGTCTCTGATGCCCAAGAACTTTTATTTCCTTGGATCATAGCTCTTTCCTGGCTCTTGGTTTTCTGTGTCTAATTTGCATTGTGTGGCAAGGTTCTCTGCTCTTACCTCTTGATCCTCCTCCTTCCCATTTGAGTACTGACACATTTAGAGCAATTCTCTCATTAATGCCCTTCTTTTCCTTGGAACCCCTCCACTGTATCAAATTATGATAAGTTGAAGGAATTTAGGTGCTCCTGTTACACTGGCCAAATGAATAGCTTAAAGGAAACCACACGCCACTAATTGCCATATGCTGTGTTTTAGTTCACTAAGTTATAGCCTAATAGTTCATACCACAAAAACTCTTGAGTCTCAATTGCCTGAGGTTGCTTGGCATGAATAAAAAGAAAATAAAAACTTAAAATGCTCCCGGAAAAACTCTCAATTCAACATTTTTTCTAATAACCTCATACCCTTACACTTAGTCACATCATAAATTTTTATTTTCATCTATTCTAGTATTTAATTATCAGCTGCTTTTTTAAAAAAAAATCTTTTTTTCCCACATGTTTTCTGAAGACATGGCAATTTATTAGAAAATAATTAAATAAATAATGCAACTTCTCACATATGGAGTCCTGTGAAAAACATACAGCCATACATTAGGTTGCTTAGACCTTTAAAATTCTTTAAAACTAAGAAAAGGGTCACATGGAAGTATTGCATTAGCTTACAAAGGATTCTTTTCTACATATTAATGATATCTGTCAAAAGATATTTTAAAACAATGTTTCAAAGTTCAATGTACTATTATGAAAAATTGATATTTAGTGATATCCCCTAGAATGCAAATTTCACAAGAGTAGGAACTTAAAATATTTGTTTCTCAGTGGGTCCCTCGAAGAGTGCCCTGATACATAATATCTTTAGTCATGATTTGATGAAAGACGGGCTTTTTTCTACTCTTGTATTCACTGGTCACTGTAGCCATAAGCAAAGATGCTATTCTGGTAACCTCTAGTAAATTATTTTACAGTAATAAATGTATCCACCCTTATTAATTTTGTGTGGTTTCTGTAAGAAATTACCTCAAACTAGGTGACTTAAAACAGAAGTTTATTTTCTCAAAGTTCTATAGACCACAAGTCTGAAATCAAGGCATCAATGGGCTTCATTACCTCCCTCCAAAGATTTCAAGGAGAATACTTTCTTTCTTCTTCCACCTTCTTGTGGATCCAGATGACCCTTGACTTGCAGCCACATAACTCTAATCTCTGCCTCTGTCTTCACTTCTCCTCTTCTGTCTGTAGTTCTGTCTTCTGTGTGCCTCTTATAAGGACACTTATCACTGGATTTAAGGTCCATCTAGATAATCCAGGACAATCTCATCTTGATATTCTTAATTTAATTACTTCTGCAAAGATCTTTCTTCCAAATAAGGTCACACTTACAGGTTCTGCGGATTAGGCTGTGGACATATCTTTTGAATGTCGGATATGGACAAATCTACTTGACACACTACACTACCCTAATACCAAGAATAGTAAAGCTGTGCTTCATCTGAAAAGACAGTAGACTTAAAATAGCACTCTGATAGAGTGCTAGAATTTCAATGAGATTGTCTAAGGGCTAACATGGAAACAGAGAAGGAAAATCTCAGTAGCTGAGTCCTTGGAATTCTGCCCTGCCTTCACGTCCATATCAAACATCACATTTTCCTCTTATTGTTCATACTTCGGGCTTCCTTTTCAAATATTGTTTGGTAAGTTCCAATATGCAAATTAAAAAATGAAATCTGACCAACAAAAATAATCTTATGGATACGAAGCTGATATTCCTCCTTTCTTTGTCCCAAAGTGAAGTGACAAGTGACTGGTCAACTCAAAAATATGCATTTTTTTTTTTTAGTTGGGGAACAATTTTCTTTCCTTGAAGTGAAACAAGTAAGAATGATTAGGTATACTGACATGTCCTAAAGTTGATCAAGACCCCTAGGAACTTCTAGATTAGCACCTTTTGAAAGGCTGTAAACAGTTTTTCAGCTTTATTTTTCCTTAGAGTCTGCAGTGGTACTACAGACCTGTAAAAAATTATACAGTGATGAAGGCCTTAGCTTCCATTTTAAATGATTATGGAGGAGACAGGACTTTTCAATTGCTCTTCAGAATCTTTTATCATCATTTTCTAGCAGCAAAGATCAGTTTCTCACACAGGAACATGGTCACTCACTAATGGTATGCCCAAGGTAGCCAAGAAAGTTATAAGGTTTTGGTAAAATTCAGGAGAGTCTTTATTAATGATAATTTTACTCCACTTCTTGGCAACTCAAAAATAACTTTTTTTTTTTTTACCATAATCTCACTTGTTATAGAGGTTTCTAGGGTCTAAATTTTCATACCTAGAGTATACTCATCTCATTAAGTGGCCAGAATAGGTAATGTCAATAAAGATACCTCCACATTATAACTATATGGGGATTTCTCACTTAAGAATTCTAGGACATTCACTTCATTCACTTTTTGAGAACAGGTACTCATGGAGACAAGTTACTTTTCTTTTTTTTTTGCTTATCCATAATAAACAGGCAAGGTCCTTGAGTCCCACGTCTTTGTGTCTAAACAAATCACCCTATCTTTTTTTGCTTCCACATATTCATCTCCTATTTGAGATGTCACAATCGCCGAAGTCCTGTATTCTGAATAATCTTCTTTCTAAAGGGACAACGTGCATTATGCAATCAAAGTTGGGGCTGTGAACACATTGTTAAATTTTATAAGTAAAACATATAAACATCATTCCTGTTTGTTTAGAAGCCCTGAGCCAGGAAAAATTAAAAAATATAAGTCAATACGCTCAAGCTCAGAGGAAGAACAAGAACATTCTTGTTCCAGTTAGAAATTGTGGCAGAAAGAAAGCCAGTAATCCCCCTCTTCTCTGATATAAAGAAACAACAACAAAAAATTTTAAAGACAGACAACTTCATCTCCAGAATAACTAGAAAACTGATCAGCAACTAAATTACAAATTGTGAAGCAAAGCCGCCTTTGTGAAATTTGAACAGGTCAAGAGAGGGTACTGAGAGTAAATTCACCCAGTAAATTCTAAAATTTTACTGCGTGAAGACTTTTCCAAAGCTGAGACTCCTGAACAGAATAAATATTACCCCTGTTCATCACTGCTTGCAGTAGCAAATGAGTGTGTGTACAAGTATGGATGGTTTTCAGGAGCACCCTGGCCCCTTTGTGTGACAGAGTTGCTAACACTGTGAGGTTGAAGGATGAACTGCTTGACATGACACCTTTTCAGGAAACAGAATATCTCTGTGGCAAAGGAATGGAAAAGTAGTCAATGGCAATCAGATTTGCATTGTTAACTACATTAGCTAAAAGAAAAGTGAATGCTGTGTCAAAACACACACAGACACACAATTATAATCTACAGAGCTTAACTATGAGCTCCATAGATCTCTGCAAAAGCATACAAGGAGAAGACAAAAATTTGTGAAACAAGTAACTTTGACTCAAAATTAATGATTGAAACAACCGAGTCTAGTAGAAGGAAAAATATAACTTCCAAAGCTGTAGGCATACTTTACTGAAGACATCATATATTTTATATTGAAATCAGATAAGAGTTCTGTATGTCAAGTGGCTTTGGACTATTATAAAGTGACCATGTATTAGGTCACAGCAAAATATCCAAATCAACGTCTAATACAGCAACCTTATAGAGATTACGTTTTCTGAAGAAAAAAAAACAAAGTAATAAAATTAGTAACAGAAATAGGAAATGAAACACACAGAATGGAATTTAAGAAAATCTGTATCATTTAAATTGTGCTTAGACTTAAAAGGATTTTAAAACCAAATTTTAAGAATTAAGGACCATATTAAAAACATTAAAATTCAAAACGTTTCTTATTTTGTAGAAGCCCTTTCAAACTAAGGACCAAAATCTAGAAGCTGAATAATAAAAAGAAATTTGGTCACATGGAAACCAAATGTTTTTACATGGAAATGTGAAAATTAATAAATACATATATTCAAAACACAAATGGCAAACTAGGAAAAAGAAATGTAACAAACAGACAAATGGCTTTATTATAGAAAGATCTTTTATAAGTAGTGAGAAAGACCAATACACAAATTAATCAATCAGGAAATAATGAGAATAAGCAGTTCATGGGGAAAAAATGGCTTATAAACATATGAAAATAAGCTTAATCTTATGCATAATTTCAAAATGCAATTATGTTTAAATCATGAACAGTAAATTTTACTTGTATGATTGACAAAAATTACAATGCCTAATGAGATATCATTGATTAAAAAAATATCCTCTAGATGGTAATAAAATACAATACAAAGTCTTTAGAGAGTAATTTGACAATATCTAAAACATTCGAACATTTTAATCTAACAATTCAAGTTATTGAAATTTATCTGGAAAATATGCACATACAAATACAGATATATGTACATCAATATATGCAAGAATATCTTCTCTGAAGCATCAATGATACTAGGTTTGAGATGGGAGGCAAACTCTAGTGCATCCTTTGTTACCAGTTTAAATGCTTTTTATCAAGTGCGTGCCTTAAATAAATAAACAATTTAATAAATAAGCAAATACACAAGTATGCAGTAATAAAATGAATAAATAATAATTGCATTTTTGTGCATGTTTGAGAAACAAAGCAAGAACAAAAATTCAGTGGATATCAAGGAAAAGGCTAACAATGCAAACTCAGATTTGTCAGGGCAGTGGGAAATGGTCTCATAAATTGGAACAGTTTAGTGAAAGGAATGAAAGTTCACAAGCAATTTAAATAATGAGAGAGATATTCCAGTGCTTTTTCTCCATCGGAACACGTACACACATGTGCACACACACATACATATACCCCCTATATACACACTTAGGATGTCTCAAGCACAGCGAAGACATTCAATCCAAATTAATATATAAATGTCTTTAAAAATTATATTTGTGTGAGTAGTTATTATAGCTGTCATTCAAATAAAAGGCTAGTGTGCTTTGGTTTATGAAGATTCTCTCCCTTGCTTTCCCCAGTGTCCAGCACACATGAAGCAAGAATGACTGAACATAACTAATACTGGCCATAGAGGATTTTTCATGCTAAACAAGCCTTTGACAAATGGCATGTCTTTCAAGGTAGATAAATCTAGACCCAATGTTAGCAGGCACGAAAAACATCAGCCCATATTTATCTTTGACGGTTCCTATATTCAGCAGGAAAATGTTCTCTTTCAGTTGAATGCATTTAAATGATAAATAAATAGCTGTGAACTGAATCCTAGAAGAAAAGAGAAAAAAACAAAAAAAAACAATCACTCTTGATTTCTTGATGTGAAATATTAGTTAAACATTTTCTTGAATTTCAAAATGATATATGCCATAAGGCTCTGTGGAAACCAAGTTCTTAGTTAATAAAAATGAAAAATTAAATGAAATAATAAAATAATGATTCTTAAACTGTGAATTTTCTAATCCAAATAACTTAGAGTTGAAAGCTATGCTAAAGACTGTTTAGTTGCCTGATGTTTAATTTACCTCTTCAAAATTCTCACTAAGATTTGATTGTCTAGTATAATTGAATACCTAGTGATGATCTACAATCTAGGTCCTGCATGTATTTTATAGAATACATGTGTTCCTAGATCCCCAAAAATATAAAAATTCTGAAAACATTAGTAAGGTTTAACATGAGAATTAATATTAAATTGAAGGATTAGAGTCTATCATTTACTTGCTCATTGATTTTCTTCTTTACCTAGTACACATCAATATATTAATTATACACAATATTATAATCAATTATTATAATTTAAGGAAATTAACAAATCACTGTTGTCAGTGAAAACAGATCTATTTTGTTGTCTGTATAACTCTGCAAGAAGCCCCAGTAGAATTGGAAAAAGAGAAGATGAAGATGCATTTAGTAAATAATAAAGAGAGTACACAGAAGATGCTTGGTATATCGGATGAGGAAAGAGGAAATGTAAAGAGAGAATAATAGTAAAAAATTATATAATTTTATCAACTACCAATTTTGGAGTTGACGGAGCGGCCTCCTCAACATCACTTTTTAATCTCTCTGGTCTCAGTTTTCTTATTTATGAAATAGGGTAATAGATATTTTATGGTTCTTGTTAAGAATTAAATTACATATTCATAGAAAATATTTTGCAAGTTTCTTACGGGTAGTGAGCCCTTAATAATATTAATAATTATTGTCATCATCATCACCACTAATGAGAATCTTTGTATTTTTCTCTCACTTAAAAAATATTTATTTACTGAGAACCATTGAAAAGTTAGTTTATTCAGTCCAGTTATCCCCAACATCTTATGAGATAATCAGCATGGGATGAGAATCTAAAGTAGTGGATGAATTTTAAAAACTCAAAGAGAAAATAGAATACCATTTTTCTTTTATTCTACTCTAAATCCTTTTTAGTCTCCAACCAAATCTCCTAAAATAAAGTCTGCTTTTCTACTTATTTGTTTCTCCCCTTTCATTGATTCTGATCAAAACAAATGCACATTTTGTTCTTTTTTTCTAGAATCTATTAAAATCCCCAAACTTCATAAGTTTGTAAAGAAAATCTATTAACTGATGAGGAAGAGTACGTTATAAATTTTTCCATAAAAAATGCAAAAGGAAAAAGTTGATCCTTTCCACAGTCCTCTTGATCTGACCTCGCTTATTTTATATGAAGTGCAGGAACCCCATATCCTCCACCTATTCTTTCGCAACAGTCCCAGGAGACAAGCATGAACTAAAAATCATGAGCTGATGCATTTTATGCATTAAAAGAAAACAACAACAATGATTTCTTTTTTGCAGCCCCCTCTTCCAAGATATCTGACAAAAGTTCAAAGTCTTTACTTAAAAATTATGAAATAGTAGATCCGCCAAGTGTATGGCAGCATTTAGAGATCTTTCCTTCCAGGTAACCCCTAGTAACCTCTGCCCCAGGTCCTGGGTGAGAATTCCAGACAGATTTTTCAAAAGCAAAATGAGTTAGTATGACTCGCCTGCTCCCCACCTCACCTGTCAGGTCAATTACACAAGAACTAAAATGAATACTCATGTGAAAGAGCCCCTTGGATGGACTGCCTTACCTGAATGCCCTCAGACCTGGTGTGTCTTCCATTGAAATCGTGTTCCAGGGAGCCCCAGGAAGGAAATTTTGCTGGTATTTTTTCAGAGAAATATTCTGGCAGTTTTCATAGTATTTCCTCCTTTGAAAGCTCTTTCAGGGCTTGCATTACATAACTGAGAACATTCAATTAGAGGTTAATTATCTTTAACACCTTCTAATCCAGATTTTTTCAATGTTTGTCCAGGTTCAAGGGTAAGCTTCACCATTGTATAGTACAAGACATCAGAACCTCTTGATGGGGAAGCAAAGCAATTAACACAGTGAAACACTGACTAGATTCAGACTTTTCATTTTTTTCCCATTTACTGCATAGCATGTCTTAAATTATTTTATTTCTGTTTCTCTCTTTTCATTTCCTGCAGGCTGATCTTTGATCTGTTTGAAGTTAGGAAGTGATAAAAGAAGAGAAGTGGTATTGGCTTTTGACCCACCCAAAAGCCAGAATGGGCACCTTACGTAGCTTACTTATATGAATTGGGAAATTTTGCTGTCTTAACCATAGAAATTATCATTTTTCATATTTCTTATAAACGATTAAAAACAGCTTAAAATTTCTTGAGTACACAAAAGCATGAAACAAAATTATTTAGTTAAAATGTTTGTTTATTTGGGTAACTGTGGACCACACTGCTTATTCATACTTATTCACTACAAAGAAATATTATAAGTATTTGAATGCACAGTGAATGATCGTTGGAGTTGAAACTCATCAAATCACACTTTGGTTAGAAAATAAGATTTTACTAAAAATGAAGAATGAAAAAGGAGAAATGAGCTTAGAGAACAACACATAGAATACTGAATCTTTTCAGTGTCTGCAAAAGAAAATATTCTCACTGCAGTTGTGTATTCATTCCTCTCTCATATGGATGCTAAGCTTATTATGTTCTATTCTAATATCATCACAGTGGTGTATGGTTAAGGCTATATCTCCATATGCTGCTAATTATCACAGGAAGAGAATCTGTAAGACCAGAAAGCTTAGAAATCAGTGCTTAGATAACCAGGAGAGAGACTTCTAACTCTCTCCGGGCCCTGCTTTCTAGCCTAAGGATATAAACAATCTGAATGTGCTTAATGGAATTTCTGGTTATGGGAGAAAGATGACATTTGCTACATACATGTAGAGAGAGAGGGAGGGAGAGAGGAAGGAATAGATGAATAGACAGACAGAGACAGAGAGGAGGTATAGAGAGGGGACAGAAACAGAGAGAAAGATAGGGACAGATAGAGAGGAAGGTACTTTGACCCTTGTACTCAGAAGTGTGGTTTATGATGTAATAACGCCATTTGGGATCTTATAAATACAGAATCTTAGGCCCTAAGCCCTAATGATTGAGAATCCACAAATAACAAGACCCATAAGTGATTCATATATACATTAAAATTTGAGGATCATTGCAAGAGGAAGATGTGTCAATTGTATTATATTGTGAAATTATCTAGTTGTGTGTTACTCTACAGTTATTTCCTTTTTTAATTCTTGAGACTCTTAAATAACATGATTTATAATTTCTAGCATCTTCTAAAATCTTCTACAGATAATTAAAGAAAGCGTACTTATCCAGAAAAAGCAACTCCTTAAGGTCATGTTAATGAAGCTGTAGTGAATAACAAAGGCAGTTCAAGAGCCCAGTGGATCTCCAAGAATGTTCACATGGAAAGTCTGTTCAATATTAAAGGAAAACATATTGAGTTTTGATTTTATTAAGGTACTTGGTAGGTGGTCTTCAGTGCCCTGGAGAGCTCAAGCACTGAGTAATCAAAACATATGTAAGATCAAGATAGATTCCAATGTACATCGTAAGAAATCCTAGAATACCAATGTATTTGCAATGAGAAATAATAGACATCATCTTCTCAAAAGCAAGCTAGTCCATTTAATATGAAGGCAATTTATAATAAAATGTGGTTTTGTAAGTAAAGGATCCCAGATAAAGAGATAGCAGGCAACATTACAATTAGGTGGTTTAAGAAATGTCCTTTCATGTGGAAAGGTTTTTAACAATGAAGCCAAAAACATTTAAGGCAGCTTTGGCCAACTCTTGTATCTCCCTTGGAAACTTCTATGGACTCAGCAATTTTGCATCTTTTTTCCATTTACCAGGGGCCTGTGCTATTTTCTTGTGATGTCTTATTTTACTTCTGTAGATATGTTAATGTAATTTTTTAGGCCACAGTTTTATTATAAGTTTTTTTTCCCGTAAGTTATTGGAGTACAGGTGGTATCTGTTTATCTTTGTTTTTATTACATTTGCTTTAAGGTTCTTGGTCATGAAATCCTTGCCTAAGCCAATGTCTAGAAAGTTTTTTCCAATGTTATCTTCTAGAATTTTTATAGTTTCAAGCCTTAGGTTTAATTCTTTATTCCATCTTCAGGTGATTTTTGTATAAGGTGAGATGAGGATCCAGTTTCATTCTCCTACATGTGGCTAGCCAATTATCCCAGCACCATTTGTTGAAAAGGGTGTCCTCTCCCCACTTTATGTTTTTGTTTGCTATGTCAAAAATCAGTTGGCTGTAAGTATTTGGGTTTATTTCTGTTCCATTGGTCTATGTGCCTATTTAGGACAGTACCAGGCTGTTTTGGTGACTATAGCCTTATTGTATAGTTTGAAATCAGATAGTGTGATGCTTCCAGATTTGTTCTTTTTGCTTAGTCTTGCTTTGGCTATGAGGGCTCTTTTTTGGTTCCATATGAGTTTTAGAAGTGTTTTTTCTAATTCTGTGAAGAATGATGATAGTATTTTGATGGGGATTTCATTGAATTTGTAAATTGCTTTTGGCAGTATGGTCATTTTCACAATATTGATTCTACCCATCCATGAATAAGGAATTTGTTACCATTTTTTTGTGTGTCATTTATGCTTTCTTTTAGTATTGTTTTGTAGTGTTCCTTGTAGAAGTCTTTTGACTTCTTAGGAATATGTATATTCCTAAGTATTTTTTTTGTGACTATTGTAAAAGGTGTTGAGTTCTTGATTTGACTCTTCTCCTGATTGCTGTTGGTGTATAGAAGAGCTACTGATTTGTGTAAATTAATCTTGTATCCAGAAACTTTGCTGAATTCTTTTATCAGTTCTAGGAGCTTTCTGGAGGAGTCCTTAGGGTCTTCAAGGTAAACAATCATATCGTCAGTGAACAGTGACAGTTTGACATCATCTTTACCGATTTGGATGTCCTTTCTTTCTTTCTCTTGTGTGATTGCTCTGGCTAGGACTTTCCAGTACTATGTTGAAGAGGTGTGGTGAGAGTGGGCATCCTTGTCTTGTTCCAGTTCTCAGAGGTAATGCTTTCAACTTTTCCCCATTCAGTATTATGTTGGCTGTGGGTTTGTCACAGATGATTTTTATTACTTTAAGGTATGTCTCTTGTATGCCAATTTTGCTGAGAGTTTCAATAATAAAGGAATTCTGGATTTTGTTGAATGCTTTTACTGCATCTATTGAAATGATCATGTGATCTTTGTTTCTAATTCTGTTCATGTGGTATATCACATTTACTGACTTGTATACGTTAAACCACCCCTGCATCCCTGGTATGAAACACACTTGATCATGGTAGATTATCTTTCGATATGTTGTTGGATTTGGTTAGCTAGTATTCTGTTAGGTATTTTGGCATCTATGTTCATCAAATATATTTATCTGTAGTTTTCTTTTTTGGTTATATCATATCCTGGTTTTGATATTAGGGTGATGCTGGCTTCATAGAATGAAATAGAGAGGGTTCCTTCTTTCTCTATCCTATGGAATAGTGTCAGAAGGATTGGTACCAATTCTTTGAATGTCTGGTAGAAATCTGATGTGAATCCATCTGGTCCTGGACATTTTCTTGTTGGCATTTTTAAAATTACCATTTCAATCTTGTTGCTTGCTATTGGTCTTTTCAGTGTATCTAATTCTTCCTGATTTAAGCTAAGAGGGTTGTATTTTTCCAGGAGTTTATCTGTCTCTAGGTTTTCTAGTTTATGTGCATAAAGGTGTTCCTAATAGCCTTGAATAATCTTTTGTATTTCAGTAGTGTCAGTTGTAATATCTCCCATTTCGTTTCTTAGTGACGTTATTTGGATTTTCTCTCTTCTTTTCTTGGCTACTCTTGCCAATGGTCTATCAATTTTATTTATCTTTTCAAAGAACCAGGTTTTTCTTTCATTTATCTTTTGTAATTTTTTTGTTTCAATTTCATTTATTTCTGCCCTGCTGTTAGTTATTTCCTGTCTTCTGCTGGGTTTGGGTTTTGTTTGTTCTTGTTTCTCTAGCTCCTTGAGGTGCGACCGTAGAGTGTCAATTTTTACTCTTTCAGTCATTTTGATGTAGGCGTTTAGGGCCATGAACTTTCCTCTTAGCACCACATTTGCTGTATCTCAAAGGTTTTGATAGGTTGTGTCATTATTGTTCATTTTGAAGAATTTTTAAATTTCCCTCTTGATTTTGTTTTTGACCCAATGCTCCTTCAAGAGCAGGTTTTTTAATTTCCAAGTGTTTGCATGGTTTTGAAGGATCTTTTTGGAGCTGATTTTTGGAGTCAATTTCCAGTTTTTATCCCACTGTGGTCTGAGAGAGTGCTTGATATAATTTTAATTTTCTTAAATTTATTGAGGCTCATTTTATGGACTATCACATGGTCTCTCTTGCAGAAAGTTCCATGCATTGTTGAATAGAATGTGTAGTCTGCAGTTGTTGCATGAAATATTCTGTACATATCTGTTAAGTCCATTTGTTCCAGGGTATAGTTTAAATCCATTGTTTCTTTGTTGACTTTCTGTCTTGATGACCTGTCTAGTGCTGTCAGTGGAGTATTGAAGTCCCCCACTATTATTGTATTGCTGTCTGTTTCATTTCTTAGGTTTATTAATAATTGTTTTATGAATTTGGGACCTCCAGTGTTAGGGGCATACAGGTTTAGGATTGTGATATTTTTCTGTTAGACAAGACCTTTTACCATTATATAAGGTCCCTCTTTGTCTCTTTGAACTGCTGTTGTTTTGAAGTTTATTTTGTCTGATATAAACATAGCTATACCTGCTGGCTTTCAGTGTCCATTTGCATGAAATGCCTGTTTCCAACCCTTTTAGTTTATGTGAGTCCTTAAGTGTTAGGCAAGTCTCCTGAAGGCAGCAGATGGTTGGTTGGTGAGTTCTCATCCATTCTGCGGTTCTGTATCTTTTAATTGGAGCATTTAAGCCATTTACATTCAATGTTAAGCATTGGAATGTGAGGCACTATTGCATTCATCATGCTCTTTGTTGCCTGTGTACTTTGTTTTCTTTGTTTTTTGTTTTTGCTTTTTAATGTGTATTTTTGTTTTATAGGTCCTGTGTGATTTATGCTTTAAAGAGGTTCTGTTTTGATGTGTTTCCAGGATTTATTTCAAGATTTAGACCTCCTTTTAGCAGTTCTCGTAGTAGTGGCTTGGTAAAGGTGAATTCTCTCAGCACTTGTTTGTCTGAAAAAGATTGTATCTTTCCTTCATATATGATGCTTAGTTTCACTGGATACAAAATTCTTGGTTAATAATTGTTTTGTTTAAGGAGGCTGAAGACAGGGCCCCAATCCTTTCTAGCTCATATTGTTTCTGCTGAGAAATCTGCGGATAGGTTTTCCTTTATAGGTTACCTGGTGCTTCTGTCTCACAGCTCTTAAGATTCTTTCCTTCATCCTAACTTTAGATAACCTGATGATGATGTGCTTAGGTGGAGATCTGTTTGTGATGATTTTCCTAGGTGTTCTTTGTGCTTCTTGTATTTGGATGTTTAGGTCTCTAGAGAGGCTGGGGAAGTTTTCCTTGATTATTCCCCTAAATATGTTTTCCAAGCTTTTAGAATTCTCCTCTTCCTCAGGAACAGCAATTTTCTTAGCTTTGGTTGTTTAACATAATCCCAGACTTCTTGGAGATCTTGTTTATATTTTCTTATTCTTTTTTCTTTGTCTTTGTTGGTTTGGGTTAATTTGAAGACCTTGTCTTTGAGCTCTGAATTTCTTTCTTCTACTTGTTCAATTCTGTTTGTGAGACTTTCCAGAGCATTTCGCATTTCTAAAAGTATTTCCAAAGTTTCCTGAAATTTTTATTGTTTTTTTTTTCTTTAAGCTATCTATTTCCTTGAATATTTCTCCCTTCACTTCTTGTATCATTTTTTGGATTTCCTTGCATTGGACTTTACCTTTCTCTGGTCCCTCCCTGAGCAGCTTAATAACTAACCTCCTGAATTCTTTTTCAGGTAAATCAGCAATTTCTTCTTGGTTTGGATTCATTGCTGGTGAACTAGTGTGATTTTTTGGGAGTGTTGAAGAGCCTCATTTTGTAATATTACCAAGCTTGGTTTTCTGGTTCCTTCTCATTTGGGTAGCCTCTGTCACAGGGAAGGTCTAGGGCTGAAGGTTGTTGCTCAGAATCTTTGTCCCATGTGGTGTTCCCTTGATGTAACACTATCCCCCTTTTCCTATGGATGTAACGTCCTGTGAGCCAAACTGCAGTATTGTTGTCTCTCCTCTGGGTCTAGCCGCCCAGCGAATCTACCCAGTTCTGAGCTGGTACTGGGGGTTGTCTGCACAGAGTCCTGTGATGTGAACCGTCTTTGGGTCTCTCAGCTGTGGATACAAGTGCCTGTTCCAGTGGAGGTGGTGGGGGGTGATGCAATGGACTCCATGAGGATTTTTAGCTTTGGTGGTTTAATGCTCTATTTTTGTGCTGGTTGACCTCCTGCCAGGAGGTGGTGCTTTCCACACAGCATCAGCTGTGGTAGTATGGGGAGGAACTGGTGGTGGGCAGGGCTCTAGAACTCCCAAGATTATATGTCCTTTGTCTTCGCTACCAGGGTGGATAGGGGAGGACCATCAGGTGGGGGTGGGGCTAGGCATGTCTGAGCTCAGACTCTTCTTGGGCAGGTCTTGCTGGGGCTGCTGTGGGGTATGGGGGTGAGATTCCCAGGTCACTGGAGTTGTCTACCTAGGAGGATTATGGCTGCCTCTGCTGAGTCATGCAGGTTGTCAGGGAAGTGGGGGAGAGCCAGCAGTCACAGGCCTCACGCAACTCCCACACAAACCAAAGGGCCAGTCTCACTCACACTGTGGCACCCCCCCAACATCCCCCAGTCCGTTTCCAGGCAGGGAGCATGAGTTTGAAAACCTGCCTAGGCTACCTGCCTCCCAGGTACAAAAGAAAAGGGCTTGGTTCTTCCCTAACCTGTGGAGTCTACACAGTGGATTTGCTCCCTCCCCCGAGTTCTGGCCAGGAGGCTTCTCATCCTGTTCAAATTGTTGCAAAGTTCAGCTAGAGATTTGCTTCTCCCTGTGTAGTTATTTCCCCCTGCCCCTCTCCAGTTGGATCCCTGTGGTGCCAGGCAGGAATGGCCTGCTAGAGGACTTAGCGAGCTATCAGGGGCTTTCTGCTGCTTCCTCTACTCCTGTATTTTGCTCAGGTCTCCAAATTGACTCAGCTCCAGGTAAAGTTGGAAACTTTTCTGGTAAATAGACCTTCAGCTTCTCCAGTGGGAGTGTGTGTTTGGGAGAGGAGTGTCTCCCTTTCCCACTTCCACAGTTGGAGAACTCAGTTTTGTTTGGGGTCTCCCAGGTCCTGCAGGAGCAGTCTGCATCCTTTAGAGGGTCTGTGGGTCCTCTTGGGATTGCTGGTTTGTTCTTGCAGTCGATCTGAAGCTAAAATTCACAATGTGAGCCCCCACACACTGCTCTGTCCGAAGAGGCAATCTAGTCCTGCCTGCCTCCTGCCATGATGATCCCTACCCAAATTAACTTTCTATAACTTAAATATAACTTACATTAGCTTAGATCAGGGTTTTTCAAAGTGAAGTTCTAGGTACTAGCATCCAAATTACCAAATATGTTAATAATTCAGCTTCCTGGCTTCATCCTGACCCACTGAATCAGAACCAATTGGAAAGGAACCTGGGAATCTGCATTTTAAACTTCCCCATATCATGTTTCTGTTTTTTAAGTCATGTGTTGGGGACTCTATTCTGATTGCTTAATTAGAAACTCACAAACAACTGTATCTAACAGTTTAAAAGTACTGGTGCTTTTAGTATAGGCTAGCTTTTCCAATTACAATTGACAGTTTAATTCTTAGAAAACAAATTTATTTGAGATTCTTAGAGTATTCCTCGCCCAGAGGCCTTCAAGTGGTAGTAACAAATACATAATCATTTTATATGACCATAAAATTCTAAATCTGAATCTACTTCTGCCTTTGTCATATATATATGTACATATTATATGTGAAGAAATTAATTCATCTATACATTATTTTGACAAATATGTTAAATTCACTGATGACTAAAACAGGGTGCTGGCAATAAGAATAATTTGATGCATGGTCTAGTTGCTGTTTGTAGCATATGTGAATGGAAATAAATTTCTCCAAAATACAACTCTAAAAGACTTTTGGTTTTAGCTATTCTAGTCAGCAGAATCATGCAAATCATCATTCAGGTAAATTGTAGCTGATTTCAGTATCCATATTTAACAATATCTGAAAGGGTATTTTTAAAATGTCTAGAAATGACTTAAAAAATTGTTAGAAATGACAGGCTAGCCACTTATGAAGAAAAGCAGATTTGGCTTAATGTGCACATTGTAAACAATAAATTATAAGTACATGGTTCTAACACCAATTAATGATGCTTTATCATTGAGAAACTAGTGATAACCCTTGAACAGTGTGATCACAACTAAGTTCTGCTGCAGTCTGGGTCCCTGTTTCTGTTTTCGCTTTTCCAACCTAAGAAATCCCTGTGGAGTTATTGCTTCCTGCAAGTGGGCAAGTTGAGGCGGGGAGGGGCTGTCACAACCCTGCTGTGGTGTGAAGAGATATATCCTGCTTGGAATCGTGGTTAAATAGATTTCTACTTTGAGAAGAACTTGGAAGCTATGTATATCCTAAGCAATCTTAGCGACATGTTCTCTCCACTCTCTCTGCAGCTTCTCTCCGGAAGGCATTTAAGAGAAGCTCAGGTTAATTACATCAGCTCTAATATTCCCAGAGCAACTCAATGTTATACAGAATACATATAATAGAAATCCAATTACAGTTTGGCATTCCATTTGATTTACTTATTTTTAAATTCTGGCAGAAGTTAAATAAGTTCAATAAACTCAATGATAATTTTAACACTCTATATTTAAAATAGTTCTGAGAAACTAAGTAAAATGTCAATTTCCCCACGATTTGTTACTACATTGCATATTGTTTTCTATGAGACTATTAATTTTTCTGCCTTACAGCTGCTGTCCTCATCAGTCCACATTTTTGTCCCCTAATTCCTTCAGATGCAGCTCTGAATGGGCTTAAAGTTCCCTCTGACATGCCCAAAGGCATCAGAAGAGCCAGTTCCTGACAGGAAGCCAAGAAGATGGGCCAGCCATCCATTTGTTAATGTGTCACACTCGAATTACACATGGCTGGCTGCAAAATTAAATTGCTCTTTCAGGATATCAGTGGAGACATAGATACAGCATTATATCTCTGTGTTCCTATTGTTTTCAGATCAGAAAATGCTTTACTTGTGTACCCTTGCTTAATTGTGTTCACTGAAAGTGCAGATTGAAAAGGGTATTGATTGCAGCTTTCCCCAGGCCCATAGTGGTTCTGTGATTTCAGAATTGAACATTTAGAAGGAAAAAGTATGTGTTTCCAGCCTTGGCACCTGGAAAATTCTGGAAATCTTTAACAACAAGAACCAATAATGAGGTGATATTGTTAAATTTCCTAGTAGTGACCTGTGCAGCTGTGTCCATTTTCGCCTTCCTAATCTAAAGTGATATATTCAGGCTTAGTAATTCTTCCATATATAATACTCATGGCCCACAAATACAGTTGCATCCATAATAAGTTGCTCTACAAACAGTTCGATCAAAGGATGAAAAGCATGGCCTAACACATATCATTGGCAATGGATGAACACTGATAACTTCAATGATTCAAAGTTTCTCTTTGTTATGGACTGAATGTTTGATTCCCTAAAAAAAAAAAAAAATCATATGTTGAATCCTAAACTTCAATATGTTATAACAGAAGGTATGGCCTTTGAGAGGTAATTAGGTCATGAGGGTTGGAACCTTTATGAATAGGAATAATGTCCTCATAAAAGAGGCCACAATTGCTATTCTGCCTTTTGGCTAAGATCATATGTGAAAGAGGCCCAAGTTGCTCTCTACAAAGGCCTCTCACAAGTGAGGATACAAGAACACGGCCATCTGCAAATCAGGAGGCAGGTTCTCACTGGACACCAGATCTGCTAGCACCTTGATATTGGGCTTCCCAGCCTCTGAAACTGTGAAAAATAAATGTTGTTTTAGCGATTCAGTCTATGGTAATTTGTTAGACCACCCTGAACCAACTATGACACTCTGGATGAGTAAACAAAGATAAAGTTGCCATCACTTGCAAAATATTTCAATTTTGATTGAATGAATGTCAAAAACAAATTATTTCAGAGTGTAGAAATAAAAATCAACCAAACGAGAACAAACAAAGGCTATTTATTCAGAGCTTGCTATAGCTAGGGAGTCAAACACCATGACTTGTATTTGGCAAAGATTCCAAGATAGGCAGGGAAAAGCTTTCGAGTGGAGAGAGAGAGAGAGAGAGAGAGAGAAAAGAGAGAGAAAAGATTTAAGTGTGCTCTGGTTGGAGAATACTGGGCATGGGAGCTGACTAGCTAACTAAAAGCAGGACATTCTATGTGATTGCCTAGGGCAGAATATTGGTTTTCTCTGGTTGGCCCTGAGTTAGAAGCAGGGTTAAAAATAAGGAAGTTGGCAGTCAATGATTAGGTCATGAGCTTTCTTTGATAGTTTCTACAGAGCTTATGGGTCAGAGTTCTATTGTCATATATGTCTGGTCATTGTCCATTTATATATTCAGCCTCTCAAGAGTGTCTATTGGTATGGTCATTCAGGAATTAAATTTAAGCAGGCTAGTTTCTTCAGTGATGCAGCATTAACTCCATTCATGGGATGATGGTAGGTAAACATAACATCAAATATTTTTGGAGGGCAATTTTTCATGGATCACGTGCATGAGAGGCTAATGATATTAATATATTGAAGTAAAATTTGGTTTTCTTTTTTTTCTTTTCTTTTTTTTTTTTTGAAACAGAGTTTTGCTCTCGTTGCCCAGGTTGGAGTGCAATGGCATGATCTCAGCTCACCGCAACCTCCACCTCATGGTTTCAAGCAATTTTTCTGCCTCGCCTCCCAAGTAGCTGGGGTCACAGGCATGCACCACCATGCCTGGCTAAATATATATATATATATATAGATAGATAGATATAGATATATATATATTTTTTTAATAGAGATGGGGTTTCTCCATGTTGGTCAGGCTGGTCGTGAACCCCCGACCTCAGGGGATCCACCTGCCTCAGCCTCCCAAAGTGCTGGGATTATAGGCATGAGCCACCACACCCGACTGGTTTTCTTTTTTAAACAAGATTTTCATGTAATATTGAGAGATAATGAAAAATGTTGTTGCTTTTGAATAAACTGCAAGAAAAGGAAACAAAAAGGGAAGAGGGAGGAGAGACAGATTCGTTTTGCTTCATTCTGTCTTTATTGGGTCTTGTTTGGAAAGCTGAGTCTCACCTCTATCAATGCATAAAGGTTTTTGCTTTTTGGAAATTTTCTGAATTATCACTTCGGCAAAATGAATGACCTCTGGTCCTGTTTTGTTATATCAAGTGTTTTAAACCTTTAATATTTGATAAAACTTCCAACATCAAAATTTCAGCTTCTAAATTTAGCCCTTTTGAACTCATTAACCCTTTGAGATACTAGGTCTTCTAAAGTCCAAAAGAGACATTTGACTTATTTTGGTATGCTAGAATCATACAGGAAGTATTTTCAAGTGTGAAATAGTATTTGGCTTTCTTTCAGTTGTATTTATATAAACGTGTTATTAGTATCTGTTCCAAAATTGTATGAAATTCCTGTAATTCTGATATGTCTCAGTGTATGTTATTAGTGATACTTAAGATTGTTATGTTAAATTGTTCTATGCCATAAAAAAAAACAAATTTCCTTCTCAATTGTGTTATTAACCATGGCTGTTCTGAGACTTGTCCTCCACAATTATTTTACTTTGATCGTTTACAAAAAGCTATTTCATAATCAGCTGTGGGACCAAGACAGGTGCTCTTGAATGCAGGTTTCTAGTAATGTTGGAGATTGTGCCATTAGAATAAAGGGAAAAACTTTCACGGCTCACATAGAGCACTGATGTGTTCATGAATATCAAGCAGAATAGGAGTTACTCACATGAACTGAACCAACAGAAGACCGAAATAATCGTTTCAAAACTTTTAGTTCAAAAAGTTGCCAATTGTTTTGCTTTTCAGAGTCAAGGAAACTTTTCTTTTGAGCTCTTAACAGCTTTTTTTTTTTTTTAAACTTTGAGACAGAGCCTCATTCTGTCTTCCAGGCTGGAATGCAGTGGCAGAATGACTGCTCACTACAGCCTCAACCTCCTGGGTTCAAGCAATCCTCCCGCCCCAGCCTCCCAGGTAGCTGAAACTACAGGTGCACACCACCATGCCAGGCTAATTTTTGTAGTTTTTGAGAGGCAGGGTTTCACCATGTTGCTCAGCTGGTCTCAAACTCCTGGAGTCAAGCAACCCACCTATCTTGGCCTCCCAAAGTGCTAGGATTCCAGGTGTGAGCCACTGCACCAGGACTAGCTTTTTAGCAATTTAGTAAAGTATTCTCCTACAAGCAAAACCTGGAGCATATTTCTTTCTCTCTACCTGATTTCTCCAGAATTTGGAAACTATTTGTGACTATTCTTAACTTATGGCAATATCGTTATTTGCATAAGTTCCATAAGATACAGTTTTTGTTGTTGTTGTTGTTGTTGTTGTTTTTGTAACAGGACACAGTTGGAGACACTGGTTATTTTACCATGGCTTTGACTGGAATTACATGTTTTTAGGCTGCTTTGAGAAATGGAGGTTGACCTATGGAGCTGGTAAAAGCCCTTTGGAGAAACTGGCCTTGTGCCTTGTTCTGCACATGGTTCTTGGCCTGTGGTAAGTAAAGAATGTCATTTTCTGATGGATCCAGGAACTCCAAGTTATTCTGAGATCTCAATAAGAGATCTTAAATTCATATAGGTATCTACAGGCACAAATAAATCCTTGGCTAGACTATAGAGGCTTTTATAAGGCCTAATCTGAGATTCCAATATAAAAGTCCCAGCAAAGCCAATTAAAAAATGTTTATATGACAAATAATTACTTTTACTGCATTGTATGCCAATAATTAGGCAGAATCTAATGGAATTAGAGCTTATTTTGCAAATAAATTGGTCCTACTATGATTTTTCCTTGATAAAAAGGGGAAAATGAAGAGGAAAAAAGTTATGTTTCAAGAGAAACTACAGTATAACTGTTACTAGAGCCCAATCTTATTTGCTGTTTTTAAATCTCTGCTGATGATTCCATATCTGATTGATTCTCAAGGTCATTCACCTGTATCCCTTAAGGCTTCAGGTCAGTTCCACAGGGATTCCTGAAACTAGGACTTTCATTCATTAAGTTGGGGCTCATTATTTATCATATAGTGTACTGTTCACTTATGTGCTGCATTAAATCTGTGTACAAATCCAGTAATGTTTTTGTTATTCACACCTTAGGACCCCAGCCAGGCACCTGTGAATACATACAGACAACCGCAAAAGTTTCACTCCATTTACTCTGTGAGAAACTCCTATTCCAACTATGCCCCCTATCACAGGAAAAAGTTAGAGCAGGCCGGGCGCGGTGGCTCACGCCTGTAATCCCAGCACTTTGGGAGGCCGAGGCGGGTGGATCATGAGGTCAGGAGATCGAGACCATCCTGGCTAACAAGGTGAAACCCCGTCTCTACTAAAAATACAAAAAAAATTAGCCGGGCGCGGTGGCGGGCGCCTGTAGTCCCAGCTACTCGGGAGGCTGAGGCAGGAGAATGGCGTGAACCCGGGAAGCGGAGCTTGCAGTGAGCCGAGATTGCGCCACTGCAGTCCGCAGTCCCACCTGGGCGACAGAGCGAGACTCCGTCTCAAAAAAAAAAAAAAAAAAAAAAAAGTTAGAGCAGTCATTGGCCTTTTCCCATCTCAGTGGCTCACAACTCAGGAGTGAGGTGTGCTGAAGCCCAAGGAAGGATTGAAACCACCTTTGCAAAATTATGAGAGTTGGAGAAATGTGACATAGTCATCTCCATCTTGTTTCTGATCTTCAAGCTGTCCTTGGTATTCCTGGGTGTAGGCCAAGCTAACTTTGGGAGAAATTTAGTGTACAGTTTAACTAGAAAGCAGAAATAATAATAGTTCCTCCCTAAAACTAACCCATTCCTTGCTCAAGGACTAAACACTGCCTCTGTTAAGACTAATAAAAGACTGCAAAAATAAGATTATGGGAGGGACGTGAAATCTGCTAAAATGTAGGCATAGTTTCTATAATCCTTTACTGCTCAGGAGTCATGTGGTCAGAAGTCACAAGATTTGTGACTTCCCCAGTTGTTCCTATAGATAACATCACTATCATGGAACTGGAAATTGGTTTTTGAGATATTTTTCAGACTGACACCACTGGGACTCATGACTCATTACTCAGCTGGTCCTGTGGTCTCACCCAGAGGTGGCTCAACACATGAGGACTGTTTTCCTCACCCCTATGACTTCATCCCCAGCCAATCAGTAGCATTCATCCCCTAGCCACCTACCTACCAAATTATCCATACAAAATCTTGCCTCTGAGCCTTCAGGGAGAGTGATTTAAGTGCTATAATTCCAGTTTTCTTGCATGGGTCAGTACTCATATCAATTAAACTCTTTATTGCAAAAAAAATGAAAATGACTAAGGTGCTCATACTATCCTGGACTTCCACTAAAGAGACAGGTAATCTAAACAGCTCTGAAAATAAATAAATAAATGAACAAACAAATAAATACTTGAGGTTAACCTGGATCATGAGAAACTGTAGACACATACTTTAGTGACTGTAGGTGGCAGATTATGCTTTACTCTTAATTGTAGGTTATGAAGGACCTATCTACTGTAGAAACAATGACCAGAATTCAGATGGGAAAGGCCTCAGTAAGAAGTAACATGGTCAAAGAAGACTTTCATGAAAAATATGTAGCTGAAGCAGGGTAGACAAGGATGAGACTTGGGCAGGGAGAGTGCAGCTAGGGATATCGTTTATGTTGTATAGATAAAACAGGTAAAGGTGTCTACTTGGAGATGAGATGATAAATAGGTTAAGATAAATCGGTTCCTTGATGGCAAAATGACAGCAGAAAGAACAAAATAAAAGTAAATTGTAAAAGCTATCATAAATACTATGAGATGCAGTGCTGTAAACAAAAAAAAAAAAGAGGAGGTGAAGTTAGTATAAGAAAACGTTGTATTTCCATTTGGGTGTGTTTTGGAGGTGACTGAAGCAGGCTATTCTAAAGCAGGGGTCCCCAAACCCTGAGCCACAGACCAGTAACAAAGCTTCATCTGTATTTACAGCTACTCTCCATGGCTTGCATTACCACCTGAGCTTTGCTTCCTGTCACATCAATGACAGCATTAGATTCTCATAGGAACACAAAACCTATTAGGAACTGTACATGTGAGGGATCTTGGATGCATGCTTCTTAAGACAATCTAATGCCTGGTGATCTGTCACTATCTCCTATCACCCCCAGATGGGATCATCTAGTTGTAGGAAAACAACCTTAGGGATCCCACTGATTCTATATTATGGTGAGTTGTATAATTATTTCTTTATATGTTACAACGGAATAATAATTTAAATAATGTGCATAATAAATACAATGCATTTCAATCATCCCCAAACCATCCTCCCTACCTGGTCTGTGGAAAAATTTTCTTCCATGAAAAAAGTCCCTGGTGCCAAAGAGGTTGGGGACCACTGTTCTAAAAGAATTACTTGTAGGCAGGGGGATATCCACCTACTGCATTTTTAGAATGGGAAATCATGACAAGTATATATGTAAAATAGTACCCAGGGACGTGATATTTGAAGCTATAAAAACAGTCTCCATAAGAGAAAGATTATATAGAAAAATGCACAGACATCTTGAAACAGATAATGAGGAGAAATAAGAACCTATGGAGGTTTTAGAAAGATAGGATGAGAAATCTTCATATTATAGTGCCGTGGGATATTTGGAAAGCCTACAAAGCTGGAGGGGATGGGTGTCATGTAGTAGGTTAGAAACAATATGGAAGCCACTGTAAACAATGCCTTGATATAATAGGTTGTAATAGTCTTTTATTAGCTAATAAACTAAAAGGACTATATTTTAAATAAAAAATGAACTTTAAGAGTATCATTGTAAAGTTTACAGCTTTGGCTTATATGAAAATTGAATATGCAGAAGATGAGGACTGGCTCTGTATGTTTGGAAGCCTGCATGCTAAATTATTTATACATAATTAAAATGAACAAATCAAATGAAGAATTTACCATTCACACATCCCTAATAAATAAATAGCTGGTTATGTGGGAATATAGGAAAATATATTATAAATACAAATGATTTTCAAATGAGAAGCAGTTGACTTCATTCTTTTTTTAAATGGATAATTGCTGATATCAAACGCAGTTTGTGTAAATTTCACTCAAACACACTAAGTTGGGAAGAATTATGAAATGTGTAAAGCACAGAGTGATTAGAATATATTGTTTAAATAACTTGTGACAATTTTTCTAAGGATGAATCTCCACACATCTTTTATAAAGGGACTCTAAGCATTGACACTCTAGCAATTATTTTGTTAGAACTATGTTATATGATTATTTTATCTCTTACCAAAATTCTACCTAATAGAAGATTGGGAAACGGTTTAAACAGGAGCTCATTTCAACCATTCTAGTTATCTCTTCTGAGAGTCTTCATCCATTATATTTTTTACAATGACAAGTATGTAATTTTACTCATTATACCAGTTGTAATGACTTCATGAGAAACGATACACTCTCATTCTGTTGCTGGGTGTGAAAGTTGTTGGGCAATAAGCAAGAGGTTATCACAACTTAAAATATGTATACTTATGACCTAGTGTTACAGTTTTAGGAATTGAACTATGCAAAATTGTTAAAGTGCATTGTTTATGCAAAATGAAATACTGAAGACAACTTAAGCATTTATTAAAGAAAGAATAGCCAAATAAACTATAATATATATTATGGAGCAGTTTTCAGCTATTTAAAAGGATAAGCCATTTCAAAAATTAAAGTATGATCTGTTTCTGAGTAAAGGATACCAGTTTTAAAAAAGTGTGTAGAAAAAATGCTATTTCAGTAAATTATTATTATTATTATTATTATTATTATTATTATTATTATTTGAGATGGAATCTCACTCTGTCTCTCAGGCTGGAGTGCAGTGTTGTAATCTCAGCTCACTGCAACCTCTGCTTCCTGGGTTCAAGTGATTCTTCTGCCTCAGCTTCCCGAGTAGCTGGGACTACAGGCACACACCACCATGCCCCACCAATTGTTTTATTTTTAGTAGAGCAGGGTTTCACCATATTGGCCAGGCTGGTCTCAAACTCCTGACCTTGTGATTCACCCCCTTGGCCTCCCAAAGTGCTGGGATTACAGGAGTAAGCCACCTAGCCTGGCCTTCAGTAAATTATTATTATATGTACAAGTAGAAAATTGAAAAAAGGTCTTGGAAAGTTATATATCCAACTGTTAATGGTAGTCAACAATTGTTTTAGAAGGACGACTGAGGAAAGGTTTGGAACTGTTCACTTTTTGTAATTAAATAAATACAAGTTTGTGTTTAATTGTTGGCATTTTTATATCCTTAGAATTTCATTTTTGTTCTTATTGTGTTTTGTTTACAGTTATTTTTTGAGATGAATTAATTTACAGTAATGCACAAAAATCTTAAGTGTCCAATTCTATGAGTTTTGAAAAACACATAAATCCGGGTAACTCACTCTTATTTATGTAAAAGAACATTTTTCTCATTTTCTGTCCCTTCCCAATCAACCTTCACCTCTAAGGTTCTAATTATTTGCACTAAAATTTAGTTTTGCCTTTTGTAGAAATGCCTATAAATGGAAATATTCATTAAGTACTAACATGTGCTCAGCTTCTCAAGCCCAAAATATCTCTGAGATTCCTCCACCTTATTGCATGTATTAGTCTGTTCTCACACTGCTTTAAATAAAGGCCCGAGAATGGGTAATTTTATGAAGAAAAGAGGTTTAATTTACTCTCAGTTCACAAGGCTGAGGAGGCCTCAAAAAAGTTGCAATCATGGCAGAAGGCACCTCTTCACAGGGCGGCAGGGGAGAGAATGAAAGCAGGAGGAGCTACCAAACATTTATAACACTATCAGATTCAGATCTCAGGGGAACTCACTATCAAAAGAACAGCATAGGGGAAACTGTCCCCATGATCCAATTACCTCCACTTGGTCTCTCCCTTGACACATGGGGACTATGGGGGTTATGGGGATTATAATTCAAGATGAGATTTGGATTGGGACACAAAGCCTAACCATATCATTGCCTGTAACAGTAGTTTATTCCTTTCAATTGTTGATTAGTATACAATGGTAAGAATATACTCTGATTTCTCAGTCCACTGTCCTGCTGATGAACATTTAGATTGCTTCCACTTGTTGTCTATTGAATAAAACTGCTTTAAATACTATCATATGAGTCATTTGGGGAACATACATATACATATATATATATATATATATATATATATATATATATATAATTTGTTTATTTCTCTTGGGCAAATAATTTGGGCATATATCTCCTTGGGCATATATTTTGTTTTCTCTTGAGTAGAACTACTGAGTCTTAGAGGTAGGTATGTGTTTGATATGAGAAATAACTGATAAGCCACTCTCCTACGTGTTTTTAATATTTTGCATTCCCACCTGCGATGTTTTAGAGGGTTGCAGCTATTCCTATATACATGAACATTTCATATCATCATTTTTGCTTGTTTGTTTCAGCGATTCTAGTTGTCCTAATTTGCATTTCCCTTATGATTAGTGATGTTCCATGATTCATGTGCTCTTAGGCCACCTGTAAGTCTTCCTTATGAAGTGGGTGTGCATTTATTTCAGTTTTAGAAACTATTTGTAGATATATATGTATATATACATATATATATATATATTTTTTTTTTTTTTTGAGACAGTCTTTCTGTTGCCCAGGCTGGAATGCAGTGGCATGATCTTGGCTCACTGCAACCTATACCTCCCGGGTTGAAGTGATTCTCCTGCCTCAGCCTCCCGAATAGTTGGGATTACAGTGCCCACCGCCACGCCCAGCTTATTTATTCATTTTATTTTTTTATTTTAGTAGAGACGGTGTTTCACCATTTTGGACAGGCTGGCCTCGAACTCCTGACCTCAAGTGATCTGCACGCCTCAGCCTCCCAAAGTGCTGGGATTAAAAAAGTGAGCCACATCCCCCAGCCTATTTATATATTTTGAATATAAGTCCTTTGTTACATGTATCTTTGCAAGTATTTTTTTCACCATATGTGACTCACCTGTTTATTTTTCTTGGCAGTGTTTTTTGATGAGAAAATGCTTTTGTTTTTTAAAAAGTCTATGTTTACTTTTGTTCTTTTAAAGTTACTGCTGTATATAAACTTAGAAATATTTGTCTATCCCTGTGTCACAAAGATATTTCCATTATGTTTTCTTCTGGAAACTTTTTTAGATTTTATGTTTAAAGCATAATCCATCTTAAGTCAATTATTCTATATGGTGTGAGGTAGATCCCAAAGTTTATATATATATAGACATATATATATATAGACACACACACACATATATACACATACATATATATGTGTATGTATATATTCAGCATTATTTGTTGAAAATATTTTTCATTTTCTATTGAATATGGGAATAGATACTTTATTTCTTTGACCTATTTGCTTATCCTATGTCAATCTTATACTGCCTTTTTAGTAACCCTTAAAATCAGGTAGCACTTGTTTCACAATTTGTGTTTTGTTTTGCCTTTATTTCAAGATTGTTTTGGCTGTTTGAGAATCTTTGCAGTTTCATATGTATTTTAGAAATAGCTTGTAAATTTCTATTTTAAAACATACTTGAATTATCATTGGGATAACAGTTATCAATTTAAGAATATTGAATCTTCTGATCTAGGAACTTTTGGATATTTGTCAATGTATGTAACACTCATTAATTTATCATAGCAAAGTTTTATCGTTTTCAGCATAAGAGTATGAAATGGGTTTGGTTAAAATTATTCTTAAGTGTTTTATCATTTTTCTTGTTATTATGAGTAGAATAGTATTTTTCTGAATTTTACCCTTTATTTATTTCCTTCTAGTATACAGAAATATAATTGATATTTATTTATTGACTTTGTATTCACTAATTCAAATACCCAATGCTACATTCCAATCTCATGCTTAGGATTCTATACCCCTTAGATTTGTGTTTTTTATAGCACTAGAGATTTCACATCCATATTGCCATAACGATGTGTTTTCTTTTGTGATTTTGATTAAATAAGAACTTAATTGAGAGATATGACATAATATCAATGCTGTGCTATTCTAACCTAGATAAAACCTTAATCTTAATAATTTTGATTAATTATATTGCAATTCTTATAGTGCTAGATATCATATCTACATATACACACACTCAAATATAAATATATACATATATGCATATAATATCGTTATATATACAACATGGTATATAAACATACTAATATATAAACACATTCTTATACAAGTATATCATATATATGTTTCAAACACACACATATATAATAAACACTAAATAAATAACTATAATTGTAGCTTATTGAGTAGTTCTGAGAAAACTGCTTACCTTTCCTTGCGTGCAAATAAATGTAACAATTTTAATCTGTACTAGGAAGGTTACTAATGTTATTAAATATAATTAAATTTATTTAGATAATTGGAGCTAAGTGTTTATGTATTTACCGTATTAATTAATATCAAAATACAATATTTTACTATCTCCTCAAAGTGCGGCTTCGACTGCTAATTTTTCTTTTGCTGAAATAGTGCAGTGGAAAGTATATTGAAAACCTTGTATATGACCTTTATTCAGATTTGTTTTTAAACTAAGAAGGTTAGAATTGCATATTGCTTTGCTTGAACTAGAGCTTTGGTGTTTTATATTGTTATTATTTTATGTAAATACCTTTGATGGTAGGGAGTATTTATAAGGTTTTTATATGATTAGCTCCAAGGTTGTTTTCATAATGAGACAGAAATGTAATGTCAAGGGCTAAAATCCTGATTATACAGTTTTTCTGCTTTTGTTTTCAAATATTTTTATTTTATTAAGAGGATTTGTGCTTGCCCAAATACTCTTGATGCCTAAGTCTGTCACGTTGTCTTTCAAGGATTCTAAGACCACGTAATTAACAATGGGAAAAGTTCTTATTGGAACGGCATTCCGATCATCTGTTCGTTTACTCTATGGTTAGACATTCTGTAGAATGTAATGAATACTATCTTTCCTTCCCCACTCCTCCTTTCTCTCATGCTGTGATGATCCCTAAAAGAAAGCAAAAATGTGCTGATGTAATTACAGGTTCAGGGTAATAGCTATAGGAGTTTAATGCAGTTTCTTACGCTTCTAAGGATATAAGCCTCTCAATCACAGTTTGAATTATCCAATGGTTATTTTAATTTGTTCTTATGAATTGAAGATTTTTTCTTCCTTTCTAGTTTTTGAAATATAAAATGTGCTCTGTGGACATCTTACCTTTTCATTCAAAGTATATACTCTACTCTAAAGCAGGTGTAAAATTTTAGTCTATTTTTGTGAAAAATGAGGTAACACTTTTTAATATGCATCTTAGCAACTAATACTGAAACACATTCTTACATCTTTGTGAACTTTACAAGTCATGACTTAATTAAAATATAAAGCCATCATTAATATCAAATGCTTTGGAGTCAAAATAATGTTATCTTTATGGCATTTTCTTATGTACTGAACAATATGATAATGAGCAGATAGTAGATGCAGAGTAGAAAGTGATGATTTAATGACACTCCTTGTCCCTTCATCCTTTAATATGGTTGACTTCTCTGAAACTGTTTTGTTTAGGTTTATATCTCTTTGCTCTGCATTCTATCTAGAATGTATATTTGCTTGTCATTATTTATAAGTAGACCAAATCTACTTTCCCTGGCAGTTAGTCCCCACCCCAGCATAGCATGTATTGTTATTCCTTTTGCTTTTAATATTCAACTATTTTTTAAAGATTAAAAATGGAAAAGTATGTCTTTTTTATATTCATGGAAATATTAACCACCTATATGGCTATTTATTTTTGTGGGAAGATCTGAATTTCCATTTGGTGTCATGTTATTTCTGCCTAAAGATCTTGTTTTAACCTGTCTTATATTGCAAGTCTGTTGGCAATAGTTTCAGCTATTGATTTCCAGAAAGAGTCTTTATTTGTTTTTATTTCAGAAAGGTATGTGTACTGGGCATAGTTGCTAGGGTGGCAAGGTTTTTTGTTTTGTTTTGCTTTTTACAACATATAAATGCATTGCTATAGTTTTTCTTTCTTGCAAAGTTTCTGACAAGAAGTTGGCTATAATTTTTATTTGTGTTTCTCTATACATAATATGTCTTTTTCCTCTGGCTGTTTTAAAGATGTTTTTACTTGTTTTTGGCAATTTAATTATGAGGTGCCTTACTGTTTTTACATGGAGTGTTTACTTGGGCCTCTTTGCTTGGTGGATTTATATTTTCCATCACATTTGGAAAAGTTTTGACCATTAATCTTCCAAACTTTTTTTTTGTCTCTGTCTCTCTCTCTCTCTTTTCTTTCTGAAACTCCAAAATATTAGATTTTTCTATATGATTCTGCACACCATTGATGCTCTGTTTGTTTATTTATTTCAATCTTTATTTTCTCTTTGTTTTTTATTTTCTATAGTTTATATTAGTGTAGAGTTGACCCTCGAATAACACAGGTTTGAACTGCACAGGTTCACTTATAAGTGGATTTTCTCTCACTCTGCCACCGCTGAGACAGCAAGACCAAACCCTTCTCTTCCTCCTCCTCAGCCTACTCAATGTGAAAATAACGGGGATGAAGACTTTTATGATAATCCACTTTCACTTAAAAAATTATAAATACAATTTTTTCTTCCTTGTGATTTTCTTATCTCTATCCTACTTTATTGTTACTGTAAAAATAACAGTATATAATACACATAACATACAAAAAATATGTTCATTGTTTATGTTATTGGTAAGGCTTCCAGTTAATGGTAGGCCATTAGTAATTAAGTTTTTGGAGAGTCAAAAGTTATATGTAGATTTTCAACTGCACAGGGGTCAGATCAGTGTCCCCAAGCCCAGTGTTGTTAAACTGTATTTTCAAACCCTTCTGCTGTTAATCTAATTTGCTGGTATGCCATTCACTATCTTTTCATTTTAGATACTGTGTTTTTCTTCATAGGAGCTCATCTGGGTCATATATTATCTCAATGATTTGATCTTTCTTCTTGAATATATGGAGTATATTTACAATAGCTATTTTAAGATCATCTCTATCATTTTGGGGCCTGTTTTTATTGATTATGTTTTCTTCTCCTTATAGGTCACATTCTTCTGCCTCTTGTTGTATTTTTATTTGATTCTAGACATTGTGAAGATTGCATTGCACTGTTGTTTTCTGTATTTCGTGATTTTGTTTACCTAGGGTTCAGCTTTGTCTAGCAGGCAATTAAGTTACTTGGAATCAGTTTGACAGCATTAAGCTGTTTTTTTAGGCAGGGCGAAACTAGAGCATCTTTTAGTATGGGATTAATTAAATCTCACTCCTAAAATGATATCATCTGGGACCCTTTCCAATACTTTGTGGGCTATGAGGTCTTTTCACTTTGGGTAGTGAGGTTGTAAACTGTCCCCAGCCCAGGTGAACTACTGGATGTTTTTGGCTATTGCTTTCCAAAGTTATTTTTCTAGCCTTAGGTAGTTTCCTCTTACAAAGGCACAGATAATTACTTAGCCAAAGGTTTGAGGAATCCCTTCTTTAGACCTCCAAAACTCTCTTCTCTCTGATAGTTAGCTTCTCAAATTTCTTAGGTTTGGACTCTCTGACTCTTAGCTTCTCATTCCTCAAGTTAAGCACAACTATTAGGCTCTGTTGGCATATCCTCTGTCTCTACTGTGGCCTGCTAATTACTTCCATAGAGTACAAAATTGTGGGGCTCACCTTTTTGCTCCCCTTTTTTCCAAGGAACAAAACCCTGATACTGCCTGTTATCCAATGTCTAAAAGCATTGTTTCATGTATTTTTGTCTAGTTTCCTAATTGTTTAAAGAGAGAGGGAAAATCCACCCCATCGTGGCTGAGGATCCTGCAGGATTACACTTACGGGACCCAAACAGGGTTCTTATTTAAAATGACATTTATTCTACTTTCACTAATTGCCACTAAATACAGAACTTTGTTCAGCTGCTTTGCAAATATTTACCTTCAATTTTTTAGAGGTTTTAATCCACCCTATGTATGTTTATTTATGGATAAAACTGATCTTTTGCCTTGAGATTGTGTTGTTGCTCAGCTGAAAAGTTTTTGTATATTCTCAATGTTGGCACTTAACTGCAGAAAAAATTGTGCCAAATATTTTTAAAACCCCCCCCCCTTTTTTTTTTTTTTTTGCTTAGACTTTTCTCTGAAAAGTAAATCAAGAGCTGAGAATGCGACTCTGGAATCCACACACCATTAGTGACTGCTCTTTCTCCTAGCTTCCCTGAATTTGTGTGATTATCACATAATTTATTTGAGGTGTCCACAGTCAAGCCCACTGTGAGCTTAATTCAATGTCTTTAGAAAAGGATCTGTCTCTGGGAAGATGGCCTCAGGAGAACAGAAAATGCCTTAACACCAAAGAGTGTCCTCTTACTCCATGCTGATGTTGCCCCTGCTCCAGGTAAGCAGTATGACCCTTTTGACTATCCAAGGTCTTTGGTATAACTGTATGTGGAAGCTCTACCCTAAACTTTCAGTTTTGTGGACCTAGAATATTCTTTAAGAGAGATTTCTTAAAGTGAGCTATTTACTTTAAAAACTCTCCCATTTAAAAAATTATAAGACACTAAAAATAAATTTCAAAGAAGGTACACAGATTATAAATAAGCATAGGAAAAGATGTTTCACATCATGTCACCAGGGAAATGCAAATAAAAACAACAATGAGATACTGCTATAGGCCTAGTAGAAAGGCTGAATGTAAAACAGACACCAAATACTGGCAAGAATGTAGAGCAGCAGGAACTCTCACTGCTCATGGGAATCCAAAATCATACAACCACACTGGAAGATAGTGCAGCAGTTTCTTAAGAAATTAACCACACTCTTACTATATGGTCCGGTTATCATACTCCTTGATATTAGCCCAAAGGAGTTGCAAACTCAGGTTCACACAAAAACCCGCAAATTGATATTTATAGCAGCTTTATTCATAATTGCAAAGACTTGGAAGTAACCAAGATGTTCTTCAGTAGGTGAACGGATAAATAAACTGTAGTACACCCAGACAATAAAAATATATGAACTATTGAGCCAAGGAAAGACAAGGGAGACATTTAAATGCATATTACTAAGTTAAAAAAGCCCATCTGAAAATGCCATATGCAAGATGATTTCAACTATATTATATTGAGGAAAAGGCAAAACTATGGAGAAAATAAAAAGATCAGTGGTTGCCAGGTGCTACAGTGAGGAAAAGATGAACAAGGGAGCATAGACAATTTTCAGGGCAGTGAAAATTATTTGTATGTTACTATAATTATAGAGACATGTCATTATACATTTGTCCAAACTCATAGAATGTGCAGCACCAAGACTGAGCCCTTGTGTAGACTATGGTTTCACTGATAATGATGATATTATAAACAATCATTTCACTGATAATGATGGGTCAGTGTAGATTCATGAACTGTAGAATATGTACCACTCTTCAGGGGAATACTGATAATGGGCAGGCCATGTATGTGTGGAGGTAGAAGATACATGGGAAATCTCTGTACTGTCCCTCAATGTTTCTGTGAAATTAAAACTGTTCTTAAAAAGTAAAGTCTTCATTAAAAACCTGAAATAAAAATAAATAAATATAAAATATCATAAACCTATGTTTTAGTACTGTATGTTTTCCCAATGCAGAATATCAGTTGTTTGGTTTCTGTGGAGGAGGTAGTTTGAAAACTGTCCACCCACACCCAACGGCACACAGGGCATGAACCTGAGCCTGCAATAAACATTCATGAAATTTTTGGTGTCTAAGGAAACAAAATGTGAACTCTTAGGCACAGAGAATCTCACAAACAATGAATAGTACCAAAGTATGTGTAACACTTTGCTGACTTAAAACCAAACTTATTATGGAAATATTGTGTGGTAGTTGAGGACATGGGCTTTTCTAAACAGTCTGATTAATATTCTAGCTCTCTTGAGGCCTTGATCATGTTTCACATCTCTAAATATTATCAATGGTGCCTTCCAAATTGGGTTGTTAGAGAAAGTGCAAGACATAATTGTTCATGTTGTGCTTAGCACAGTATCAGTCACTATCAGTTCAATAAATGTTAGCTTTGTGAATAGAAATCATAATTGCCATCATTATCATTGCCTTCGTTGCCATTGTCATCATCATCATTATTATAGCTAACACAATATGTTAAATGGGTTAATTATACATTATTTATTGAATTCCTAAGATATATTCCACTGTTCTAGGCACTGCATTAAACTTTTCAGCGCTAGGACTCATATAACAAAACATGAAGTTTAATATCTATAAATATATAAGCACACACATATAGTTCGTCAGAACTAATTATTTTGTATTGTCAAATGGTAAAACAAGGTTATAGTAGCTGTTCATATTAACAATAACATTTTTACATTTCAGCAAGAGACATATACATAAAAATTCTTTAGCTAAATTTAGTTTTGAGAAGGGTGAGTGACATCTCTCTGGAAAAAAAAATAGATACTTTTTTTTAAGTCCATAATGACAGGTTTGGAAGGGAGGGATATGCTGTCACTTTTTCCTGAATGGTGTACAGGGAGTAGAACACCCATGAAGCTGGAAATCTGTTGAGAAGGTCTATCAGATTGAATGACTTGGATTCCTCTCTCTGCTCCTGGAAGAACTAGTGATCACATGACTGATAAGGCTCATTTGGGAGTTAGCATTTTGTTAAGCGTTTAGTAGTTCACAAATACTTCTTCCCCAGAAATGAAAGAGTACATTCCTTTGCCCACACTTCTTCCTCCAATTCTGTCCTAAGCACTCCTGGTGCTCTTATCCTGTTAATAGTTGTCATTTGCCCCTTCAGTTTACACTTTTGCTTTGCACTCTCCACCACACATAGCTGTAGGAGAGTGGAACTTCAGATAAGTTTAAACTTTATTCATTTGTGACAAAATTATTAACACCACACTAATCATTATAAAAATCTAATTAGATACCAAGATTAATTATCCTTTTACCTCTGCCTTCTAATTACAGATCTTAATCAAAGCCTGGCATGGTGTTGAAAATATAATTCATTGTCTGATTGCCTGAGAATCCTCAAACACCTTTCCTACTTTTTGTCCTGCAAGGTGTTATGGAGAGTCTTTCATAAACTTATTTTCTATATGGTTATAACTTTCTAGCACCTATGTATAGAGATGTCCTTGCTGGGTCAGAGGAAACGAGGGTCACATAAGAGCCTATATTAGTCCGTTTTCACACCGCTGATAAAGACATACCCAAGACTGGGAAGAAAAAGAGGTTTAATGGACTTACAGTTCCACATGGGTGTGGCGGCCTCACAATCATGGTGGGAGGCAAGGAGGAGCAAGTCACATCTTACATGGATGGCAGCAGGCAAAGAGAGAAAAACTTGTGCAGGGAAACTCCCATTTTTAAAACCATCAGATCTTGTAAGACTTATTCACTATCATAAGAACAGCACAGAAAAGACTCACCCCTGATTCAATTACCTCCCACCGAGTTCCTCCCACAACATGTGGGAATTGTGGGAGTTACAATTCAAGATAAGATTTGGGTGGGGACACACCCAAACTGTATCAGTGACTATTTTCTTCCTTTTGTAACCTTCTATCTTTTTACTTTTCCTCTATCAGAGCCCATAACCTATATCCCCCTTCTCAATTACTGCTGAATACCATCTGTATAAATTAAGATGGTCCAGAAAAACAGACCAATAGGGTAGATAGATAATAGAAAGATAGATAGGTAAGAGAAAATTTATTATGGAAACTGGCTTATATGATCTTGGAGGCACTGGACTCCCAAGGCACACCCTCTGCAAGCTGGAGAACCAAGAAAGCCAGTGGTATAATTCAGGGTGAGTATCAAGGTCTAAGAACCAGGGAAGCTAATGGTATAATTTCTATTTGAGGATAAGAAAAGACAGAGAAATGTACCCTCTCTCTGCCTATTTATTCTATTCCAGTGGATTATATGATGCTTGACTAGTGAGGTCAGACATTTTTTTCTCTACCATTTTAAATGGTAATCTCTTTCACCAACACCCTCATGGATCCATCCAGAAATAATGCTTTACCAGCTTTCTAGGATTCCTTAGCCCAGTCTTGTTGACACATGAAATCAACCATTGATATGGTTTGGCTGTGTCCCCACCCAAATCTCACTTGAATTGTAGTTCCCATAATCCCCACATGTCATTGGAAGGACCTGGTGAGAGGTAATTTAATAAGGAGGCAGTTACCCTCATGCTGTTCTTGTGATAGTGAATGGCTTCTCACGAGACTTGATGGTTTTATAAGGGGCTTTTCCCTGTTTTGCTCAGCACTTCTCCTCGCTGCTGTCATGTGAGGAAAGACGTTATTGCTTCTCTTTCCGCCATGATTGTAAGTTTCCTGAGGCCTCGACAGCCATGCTGAACTGTGAGCCAACTAAACCTCTTTCCACTATAAATTACCAAGTTTCAGGTATGTCTTTATTAGCAGCATGAGAATGAACTCATACAGTAAATTGGTACTGCCGAGAGTGGGGCACTGCTGTACAGATACCCAAAAATGTGGAAGCGACTTCGGAACTGGGTAACATGCAGAGGTGGAAACCATTTGGAGGACTCAGAAGAAGACAGAAATATGTGGGAAAGTTTAGAATTTCCTAGAGACTTGGAGGAGTCAGAAGACAGGAATATGTGGGAAAGTTTGAAACTTTCTAGAGAGTGGTCGAATGGCTTTGACCAAAAATACATGAGATGGACAATGAAGTGATATGGACAATGATAGTGATATGGACAATGAAGTCCAGACTGAAGTGGTTTCAGATGGAGATGAGAACTTGTTGGGAACTGGAGTAAAGGTCACTCTTTATGCAAAGAGACTGGTGGCATTTTGCCCCTGTTTTAGAGATCTGTGGAACTTTGAACTTGAGAGAGATGATTTAGGGTATCTTGTGGAATAAATTCCTAAACGGCAAGGAATTCAAGTGGAAGAAGAGCATAAAAGTTTGCAAAATTTGCAGCCCAATGATGTGACAGAAAATGTGATCCTCATTTTCTGGGGAGAAATTGAAGCTGGCTGCAGAAATTTGCATAAGTAACAAGGAATCAAATGTTAATCACCAAGACAACTGGGAAAATGTCTCCAGGGCATGTCAGAGAATTTCACGGCCACCCCCCCATCACAGGCTTGGAGGCCTATGGGGCAAAATGGTTTCCTGGGCTGGGCCCAAGGCCCCCTTGTTCTATGCTGCCTTGTGACATAGTGCTCAAATGCTTCAGCTCCAGCTGTGGCTGCAAAAGGCAAAAGTACAGCTTAGGCCATTGTTTCAGAGGATGCAAGCCCTAAACCTTGGTGGCTTCCACTTGGTGTTGAGCCTCTGGGTACACAGAAGTCAAAAATTGAGGTTTGGAAATTTCCGCCTAGATTTCAAAGGATGTATGGAAATGCCTGCACATGCAGGCAGAAGTTTGCTACAGGGGAAGAGCCCTCATGGAGAACCTCTGCTAGGGCAGTGCAGAAGGGAAATGTTGGGTTGGAGCTCCCACACATAGCCCCATTGGGGCACTGCCTAGTGCAGCTGTGAGAAGAGGACCACTGTCCTCCAGACCCCAGAATGGTAGATCCACTGACAGCTTGCACCCTGCACCTGGAAAAGCCACAGACATTCAATGCCAGGCTGTGAAAGCAGCGAGAAGGGGAGCTGTACCCTGAAAAGTCACAGGGGTGGAGCTTCCCAAGGCCATTGGAGCCCAACTCCTGCATCAGTGCACCCTGGATGTGAGACATGGAGTCAAAAGAATTCATTTTGGAGCTTTAAGGTTTAATGACTGCCCTATTGGATTTAGGACTCACGTGGGGCCTGTAGCCCCTTTGTTTTGGCCAATTTCTCCCATTTGGAACTGGTGTATTTACCCAATACCTGTACCCTCATTGTATCCAGGAAGTAACTAACTTGCTTTTTATTTTACAGGCTCATGGGTGGAAGGAACTTGCCTTGTCTTATATGAGACTTTGGACTTGGACTCTTGCGTTAATGTTGGAAAGAGTTAAGATTTTGGGATATCACTGGGAAGGCATGACTGCCTTTTAAAATGTGAGGACATAAGATTTTGGAGGGGCAAGGGACAGAACAATATGATCTGGCTGTGTCCCCATCCAACTGTCATCTTAATTTTTACCTCTCATAATCCCCACGTGTTGTGGAAGGATCCTGGTAGGAGGTAATTTAATCATGGGGGAGGTTACCTTCATGTTGTTCTTATGATAGGGAGTGACTTCTCAGGAGATCTGATGATTTTATAAGGGGCTTTTCCATGTTTTGCTCAGCACTTCTCCTTGCTGTTGTCATGTGAAGAAGGATGTGTTTTCTTCCCCTTCAGCCATGATTGTAAGTTTCCTGAGGCCTCCCAGCCATGCTGAACTGTGAGTCAATTAAACCTCTTTTCTTTATAAATGAAAAGATACATTCAGTCTCGGGTATGTCTTTATCAGCAGCATGAGAAGGAACTAATAAAACAATCATACCATTGTTGTGGGCCCCCTATTTTATCCTTATTCCTTAAGGTGTTTTATTATTTGTCAAAGCTAGTGGTCATAAGAAAAGATGAGAAGATCTTCTCAGATGACCTCCTTTTAAATTGTACCTGCATGAATGGGTACACTTAAGGATTCTCTTCAGATGTATTTGCCACATCCAAACACCTCCACACTTTAATTTTTCTTGTGACAAAACTACATGGCGCATACTGAACTATAATTTTTTTTTACATTCTGTGGCCTTTCTGTTTGCTACTGAAATTAGTCTAGAACTTCACATTATTGGCAAGTCATAAACAAATACAAATTGTAATATATTACTATGAGAGAATGGTACTTTTCAGAATTGTCACAAGCAGTCTCTGATAAGTGCATGATCAAAATAAGACTTTTTAGCTACATAGAAAAGTATTATATTAAATTTTCACAAATGTTTTAAGCATAAACAAAAATCAACAAAACGTGAAAAAGAAGAAATATGATGAGAAATATGCAGGACCCAAATAAAGACAATGTGAGAAAGTGAAGTGTTGCATGGCACCTTAGTTGAAGAATTACCTTCCCTATTCCATACCTGTATCACTAGCTACATTTTACTTGGTTACCTGTTTATTATGTTTCTGACCATTAAAACAATCTCTGTGAAAGTGAGTACTTTTTCTATGTTGTTTGATCAGTACCTAGCACAGGAATCAGTGGCTCAGTTTACAAAAAGTATGAAAAAATCAAATATTTAACATGTAAAGAGTTCTGACAATCCAATAAGAAAAATAATTGCTACAAAAAATAGAAGCCTAAAGCAACAGTTCTAATATAAGGAAATATAACTAGCCAATAACTTGCTCACCTTCAAAAGATAGCCAAAAATACAACTTCAAAGAATATAAGATACAATTTTAGGCCAGGTGCAGTGGCTCACGCCCGTAATCCCCACACTTTGGGAGGCCAAAGTGTAGATCACCTGAGGTCAGGAAATGGAGACCAACCTGGCCAACATGGCGAAACACCATCTGTACTAATAATACAAAATTTAGCCAGTCGTGGTGTCATTCGCCTGTAGTCCCAGCTACTTGGGAGGCTGAGGTGGGAGAATCAGAGGTTGCAGTGAGCCTAGATCTCATACCACTGCACTCCAGCCTGGGGAACAGAGCAAGACAGTGTCTCAGAAAAAGTAAAAATACAAATAAAAATAAGGTACAATTTTGACCTTTTTTTTTGTAAATAATGTAGAAATATGTATCAAAAGAATTTAAATAATTTAAAGCCTTTGACTCAGAACTCTATTTTTACGAATGTAACAAGAGATGCCCAAAAAGTGTCTACATAGACGTACATATAATTTTCCTTCATATGAAAAGTTGAAACAACCTAAATATCTGCCAATAGGATATTTATTGAACTATGCTGTCTCTATAATAGTAACTCTATGAAGCCTATTAGAAATCGTATTTTCAGAAAAGAAAATACAGATCTATTTTGGAAATCCACAGAATAATATTAATTGAAAAATGCAGAATGCAAATTTGTCTATATAGCACTGTCTCAATTTTGTGTTACGTATAAGGGTGTGCCAAATATGCTCACATAGATATAAAAAAAGACATTGGAAAAAAACAGCAGTTGACAGCAGTACTTTCTGAGTAATGAAAATCTTGCTACCCTTATCTTTTTCTGTATTTTTATTTGTTCTACACTGACAGATGTACTACTTCTATAATTTACAAGGTCAATAATATTATTGTTAAATTCTATGAATGCTGCTTGGTGGTTTTGAGAATATGAAACTATGGATATTAAGAATAGCAGCTCAAATAAGCAGCATCCTACATTTTATTCTAAATAATAATTTTTAATGGGTGAAAAAGTGAATCTAAGACAGTGTTTTAGAAAGTGGAGTAGATTTTATTTTTTATTTATTTATTTATTTATTTATTTATTTATTTATTTATTTATTCTGAGATGGAGTTTCACTCTTGTTGCCCAGGCTGGAGTGAAATGGCACAATCTCGGCTCACCACAACCTCTGCCTCCCAGGTTCAAGTGATTCTCCTGCCTCAGCTTCCCGAGTAGCTGGGAATACAGGCATGTGCCACCACGCCCGGCTAATTTTGCAGTTTTAGTAGAGATGGGGTTTCTCCATGTTGGTCAGGCTGGTCTCAAACTCCTGACCTCAGGTGATCCCAAAGTGCTGGAATTACAGGTGTGAGCCATCGTGCTCTGCCTAGACTTTGAAGTTATGGGAGCATATACCTTAAATACTTTCCAAGTTTTTCCCAACCTCCTTTGCTAAAGGAAGATTGTTAATGGTTTTCTGAAAAACATTATTACTATCTTGGAGAAAAACAAAAATTTAAAAGGAATTACATACCTATGTTATTGTAAAGCTTTTGAATCATAACATTACTCTGAAGTTTGCTAGCATTAACACAGTTAAAGAAACCACCAAAGAGGCAAACATAACATAAAATTAGTGCATCAACATGCAAAGAATCAAGGACACCCTGTTCTTTCTAGGAGGAAAAATAAATACACAATTCAATAAAATTCCCCCTGCAAAATCATGCATATTATACATTCACCAAAAATAATGAAGGTTACATTTCACAAACTGAAGTTATAGTCACAGCAGCCTCAAGGCTCAAGCTAAATATAAGCACAAAAACCGTATACTTGTTGTAAATACAGCAATCAAGCAGTAGCAGCACAAATTATGCATAAGAACTACTTCAATCAAGTAAGATAGAAGGTGAAAAATCACCAGCCCTGATCAGCTTTAGACCTAGGGGACAGCAAGTTAAAGAAAAATAGAAACAAAAGTGTCAGGATTATTTTGAAAAATCAATTATTAATGAATGAATCAAATAACCCTATGTAAATATTTATCAACTGGATAACTTTCCTAGGGGTTAAGTCATCATCATTAGGTTAGTATTACCATAGCCTACTCTGTGCTTACTACACAGGAGGTAGCCAAGTGAACTCTACATAAATACCAATGTTGTGGTAGTGGCAGAGTTGCAAGATTTAACAACTAATAATACTTCCTTACGTAGTAAGGAAGAGGGAGAAAATAAAGCAGACTGGAGAAAAGTGACAGAAGACAATTTTGGACATGGCTGATTTTATAAAGGCCTGAATCCTTTGAGATAACATTCCTACAAATTGAAGTTACCCTCCAGGGCAGAAAAACGTCTCTACTCTTGCTAGTGTGATGATCATTTTTCCCAGGGCTTAGCTCTGTGTTTACTCTTATTCCTTAAATTCACTCTCAGCTGTCATTGAGAGCTGAGATAATTTGAGGACAGGATAATTCAATAACGGGAGTTTGAGGTAAGGGAGAGGGAGAATCTATGCTCAGGAATAGACTCACAGCTAATAAGTCCTGTCTCTAGCATATACCATCTAAAATCATGAGGTAGACCCACCATGCCAACGTTGAGCTCTGAATCTGATATTGTAAAGAAGCAGATATCATTTATGTAATCATGAACTTCCGCCAACTTGACCGCACATTTTTTTTCTATGCTTTCTGTAAATTCTCAGAAAAAAAAAAAAAAAAAAGAAAACCTCCTAATTATCCTTGATTTTTCTTCATCTCCTTTCCTCTCAGGGAATAACTTCAATAAATAGTAATTAAATTCGTGAGCAAAGGTAATTCCAGACACCCTAATATTTATTACTTAAAAATCCCAGGGCCAACTAATTGCTGACTGTATGTTTGGGAATCTCACTTTGGTAATCACCCAAATGTACCTGTTTTCTTCAAATCTCACACTCCTCTTACTAATTTGGTGAGAACTACATTGTTTTCTCCTATGCTGTGCAAAATTAAAGTAACCATATTTCTTTAGCCGGCAAAGAAGAGAAAAGTACCAAATTAGAAATAAATTTTTAAAGCCTAATTAAGCTTTCTTTTAAAAATTATGGAACCCAAGTCTTAATAAAGAATACCAAAAAAGTGGGCAAAATAACATAATAGCAAAAGTAATTAATTAATTAATTCAATGATTCAACAAATACTGTATTCCAGGCAATGCTCTAGACTCTAGGAAGCAAAAATAAATAAATAAATAAATAAAAATAAGACATAGTCATTGCCCTCAATGAGCTTGCAGTTGAGTAAGGAAACAGATTTATACAATTGCATTTTGTGAAAAGTATTAAAAGGTGTGGGAGAAGAGATGAGAGAATGAATCCCAACAAGGAAATAAGGAAGGGCGTACAAGAAAAGGTGACAGCAGAATAGAGGGAAAGGTATCCAGGCTGAGGAGAATGTTAAAATCTTTAGTTAGAATTGAAGGCACTATTTAGTTTTCGGATATCATCATTCTCATCATTTTGGCTTTTTTCTTTTTCACTAGACACTCATCACTTCTATCCTGGCATAAAGTGATATTTAGATACCTTCTAAAAATTATGGTAGAGTTCCTATTAGAATGCCATTAAGTTTTATTACCTGAAAAATTGAGGTTAAGGAAAAGAACAGGGAATTGGGGAGATATTCAGTGAACAAGCATAATTCGTAGTTTTCTCTGGACAAATTTATCTGTGATTAAGAATCAATTGTTTAATACTTTCAGTTTCTTAGCTTTAGTGCTTTTCACTTTCTGTCACTCTAGTCCCAGCTAAAACCAGGTACTTAGAAGTTGAATTTGTTTTTCTGCTAGGTAAGTTTCCCATCTCAAGATTCCAGTTCTCCTAAGCTGAGTCCACACCCACGTGTTTTTCATTTGACTCTTGCTAGATCAGGACAAAGTTTATATTCACAGGCCTTTTCCTTCTTCAACATGACAACTCTCAGAACTCCCAGATGATCTGTGCCCTTTGGGTTTAAGGCATGTATTTTTTCTCACAAGGGTCTTTCTATTATAAGCTTTTTCTTTGATAATGGACTGGAGGATTCCATTCCCAGCTGATAGTACAGAGCACAGGAAAGGCCAGGTGATTTGGATGTAGGAATTTCTCTAGTGCTCTTCTAATTTTTACCATATGCCTGAGCCAACCTGGCTGAACTTCAGCTATTAATGAACCCTGCTCTGAACTTTGGCTATTAATTTATCTGTCATTCAGGAAGACATCTGGAGTTAGTAAACTCCTTTCTTTAGCTCCCCTTTTTGGGATGGTAGGTAAGATGGAGAAGAAAAGGTGGGGTACATCTCAAGTAGTAAAGAGTGGGTAACACTGGCAGTCTTTCCTCTTGCTCACACGAATACTATTCCTATAATATTTAGATATAATAAAATAAGGTAAAGTATATAGTATGTATGTGATGCTCATGTTTATTTGTATTTTCAGTGCATAAAATATATAGAATATAAGAATAACAAGCAAATTTTAAAAAACAATGTTTTTCCTAATTCACAAAAAAATGCCTTTTGTTACATCCTAACACTAGGCTATGCTAAATGAAGAAATATAGTAGCTCTAACAATAATACTCCTTCTCTATTGTAATGATAAATTTTGAGAAGGCAAGGAAGGTGAGTTTATTAAAGATGGTAAACTAAATAAGATAAAATTATGGAAATGCCAACAAATTTACAAAAATGTAAACAGTTTTCAGTGATTTTAATTACAGCTCATTTAAAGCATGTTCATGAATACATATTTTCTTGCAGTTTGATAAAACCCTAAAGGCCAGATAAAAACAGAACATGAGATAACTAGATGCAAAGAGTTCCAGCATTTCAAATTGATACATTTTAAATTAATTTATTTTGCTCTATGCTAAAAATTGGCAAGTTTGTATTTAAAAAATATTATTTCATGATAAATTTCTTTTTTAAAAAAGCAAAGAACAGGTTCACTAGAAGCCAAGTAAATTTCCGAAACTGAAAAAACTACATGTAAGATAGTTTTTTTTGTTTGTTTGTTTTTGTTTTTGACAGAATCTCCCTGTAGGCCAGGCTGGAGTGCAGTGGCACGATCTCGGCTCACTGCAACCTCCACCTCTCGGATTCAAGCGATTCTCCTCCCTCAGGCTCCCGAGTAGCTGGGACTACAGCTGCCCGCCACAATGCCTGGCTATTTTTTTTTTTTTTTTTTTCTGTATTTTTAGTAGAGACGGGGTTTCACTGTGTTAGCCAGGATGCCAGGATGGTCTTGATCTCCTGACCTCGTGATCCACCCGCCTCGACCTCCCAAAGTGCTGGGGTTACAGGCGTGAGCCACCACGCCCGGCCTAAAGATACATTTTCAATCAATGACTTCAACATTTTGTTTTTGTGTGGGTGTGTTCTAAGCTTAAATTGGTGACAGACATGTGACTAATACATCTCAAATCATGAAGTTGCTCCTCAATTTTTTAAAACACTACATAATATTCCCCTGCACAAACGTGCTCAAAGCATTTAACCACCTTTTACCCATATGGTAGCATTTTCTTAGCTTTTGTTATTATACACAAATCTAATATAACGATTTTCCATATATATTTGCTTATATGTATGAACCTTTAAGAATGGTTTCTTAAAGATGTAATTGCTGGATCTAAAGATATCTGCATTTTACATTTTTACAAATGCTACCAAATCCAGTGATGAATATTGCACTCCCATTTGAACCAATAATATCCCTGCAACTGGTATTCTGCCAGGGTGCTATTAAGGAAAGGAGGTGAATGAAGAAGGAAAGAATAAACAGAAAAAGGTAGAAAAATAAACAATAAACAAAAAGAAATCTGGAGAGAATAAATTGCAGCAGTTGGGAGGGTTTAAGAAATGCATGTCATGTCATGAATTTAGGTGCCAAATTTATAACTCAAGCCTCTATACTTTCCATGAGTTTCAGAACCACTATCTGCACATTTAATGTATAACATTTATTTGCATATTTCATTGATAGTAAAAGTGAAATTTCCAAAACAAAATAAAAATCACCAACAACCTCCTCCAAGTCCCTTTTTCATTCTAATAAATGGTACTACTGCTTTCCACCCCAAACATCAGACCAAAAACCTGGATTTTTTTTCATTGGCTCTTTCATCTCTTTCACCCTTTGTATTACAGTCCATCACTCTATTCCATTTTTCTTCCACTTAAATATTTCTAGAATTTGTTCATTGTTTTTAAATCCTGGCTATTACTACCCTATATTAAGGTTTTTTAAAACCTGGATCGCAGCTATCATTGCTTCAGTTTTCATATGTTTATAATTTCTTATTCTGTTTATTCTTTTGCTGGCTTGGAAACTTAATATTAATCTTTTCACAGTTAACTATGGAATTGTATCATGTATTCTTAACAAATTTTAAAACGTGTTACACGTTAATTCTACCCTCTGAAAGAGGCAAAGACCTTGCAAAACTTTAATCTGGTTGCATCCCTTCTTGACATATAATATATTGGTGCAGTATTTTACATTCATATTTACATGATAAATTTGACGTTGTTATTTTTATTTACATGGATGATATATGTTTTGCTTCAAACAAACAATTTGACATTTATGTTTATTATGCTTATTATTTATATTGTCTCTCCACACTAGAATGGAAGCTCCAAAAATGCAGAATTGTATTTTATTTGCTTAGAACTGTGCCTAGTACATAGTAGGTACTCGGTATGTATTTTGATGAAACACCTGCATTTATCTACATGTTTGCCTTTATTATTGTTACCTCATTATTCTTTTCTGCATTCAGCTAAACTTTCTGGAGTAGTAATATTTTTTCATAACACATCTCTCATAAGTTTTCCATGGTGAGAATTTGTTAATGATAAAATAATTGTTTCTTTGTCTAAAAATGAATTTATTTTTCCTGATTTTTCAAAGTTCTAAGTATGAGAGTTTTTTTTTCCCCTTCCTCTAAGCACTTAGAAGATATTTTCCACTGTCCTCTGGCTCCGTTGATTCTATTAAGGCATCTGTTATTGATCTAGTTATCTGTCTTGGTATGCAACCTGCCTGCTTTTACTGAACTATGTTTAGGTGTGAATGAATCGCAATCTCTCTCTTTCAGTCTCCTCTGTTCCTCTTTTCCTTCTTTTTATTCCTCTCTCCTTTTCTCCATCTCTCCTTCTTCCTCTCTGTCTCTATCTCATAAAATTCTGCTTCTTATCTGCTAATTTTATATATGAGGGTTCATGTTTTCATAATTTCTGGAAAATTTTCAGACATTATCTCTTCAAACGTAATCTCTGATTCATTCTCTTCATTTTCTCTTTCTGAGACTCCAATTAGACATATACTCCTTTTTATTTGATCCTCCATTTTTCTTCCTGAGTCTGCAATTCCTTCTATCTCTTTGCAGTATTCTGTTTAGAGTCTTTAGATTTATGTTCTTATTGCTATTTTCCCCTAGAGCTGTGGTGCCAATTGCTGTTTTACTCATTATTTTCCATTTTTTCTTTTTTCTCTCTTTTTAAATATATTTTTATTATACTTTAAGTTATTTCTGTGATTCTATTCTTTATGCCTTAAATATTTTATCCATAAATATTTTATATTTTGTATTTCCTAATTCAGTATCTTTAGTCTTTATGAGTCTACATCTCTGCTTTAAAAAATCAGCTGGTTCTTATCCATATAGCTTAATTATTTGTATATAATTTTACACTACTTTTGAGTTTTTAGTTTTTATTTTTATTTCAATAGCTTTTGGAGTACAGGTGGTTTTCAGTTACATGAATAAGTTCCTTAGTGGTGATTTCTGAGATTTTAGTGTAGCTGTCATCTGAGCACTGTAACAAATAAATCTTTTATTCTTCACACATCTCCCAACCTTCCCACTTGAGTCCTCAAAGTCCATTATATAATGCTTATGCCTTTGCATCCTCATAGCTTAGCTCCTACTTATAACTGAGAACATATATATTTGGTTTTCCATTCCTGAATTACTTCACTTAGAATAATGGCCTCCAGCTTCATCCAAGTTGCTGCAAAAGGCATTATTTTGTTCCTTTTTTTTTTTTTTTGGCTGAGTAGAATTCCATGATTTATATATACCACATTTTCTTTATTCACTTGTTGGTTGATGGACACTTAGCTTGGTTCCATATCTTTGCATTTGCTGTTTCTCCTGCTGTAAACATGCATGTGGATGTGTCTTTTTTATATAATGGCTTCTTTTCCTTTGAGTAGATAACCAGTAGTGGGCTTGCTGGATCAAATGGTCGTTCTGCTTTTAGTTCTTTAAGGAATCTCCATACTGTTTTCTATGGTAGTTGGGCTAATTTACATTGCCACCAGCAGTGTAAAAGCGCTCCCTTTTCAGCACATCCACACCATCTATCGTTTTTTGACTTTTAAAATTATGGCCATTCTTGCAGGAGTAAGGTGGTAGAGCTAATTGTGCTTTTAATTTATATTTCCCTGATTAGTGATGTTGAGTATTTTTTCATGGTTGTTGGCTGTTTGAGAATTGTCTATTCATGTCCTTTGCCTACTTTTTCATGAGATTGTCTTTCCTTGATGATTTGTTTGAGTTCCTTGTTGATTCTGGATATTAGTCCTTGTTGAATACATAGTTTGTGAATATTTTCTCTCATTCTATGGATTGTCTGTTTACTCTGCCAACTATTTTCTTTGTTGTACAGGAGATTTTTGGTTTAATTAGGTCCTATTAATTTATTTATTTTTGTTGCATTTGGTTGTGGAGTCTTAGTCATGAATTCTTTGCCTACTCCCATGTCTAGAAGAGTTTTTCTAATGTTATCTTCTAGAATTTTTATGGTTTCAGGTGTTAGATTTAAGTGTTTGATTCATCGAGTTGATTTTTGTATAAAGTGAGAGATGGGGATCCAGTTTCATTCTTCTACATGTGGCTTGCCAGTTTCCCCAGCACCAGTTATTGAACAGGGTATCCTTCCCCAAATTTATGTTTTTGTATACTTTGTCAAAGATCAGTAGGCTGTAAATATTTTGCTTTATTTCTGTGATCTCTATTCTGTTCCATTGGTCTATGTGTCTATTTTTAAACCAGTACCATGCTGTTTTGGTAACTATTGCCTTGTAGTATAACTTGAAGTCAGGTAATGTGATGCTTCCAGATTTGTTCTTTTTGCTTAGTACTGCTTTGGCAATGAAGGCTCTTTTTTTTGGCTCCATATGAATTTTAGGATTTTTTTTCTAGTTCTGTGAAGAATAATGATAGTATTTTGATGGGAATTACATTGAATCTGTACATTGTTTTGGATAATATGATCATTTACACAATATTTATTCTTTCCATCCATGAGCATGGGATGTGTTTCCATTTGTTTGTGTCATTTATAATTTCTTTCAGCAGTGTTTTGCAGTTTTCCTTGTAGAGAGAACTTTTACCTCCTTGGCTAAGTATATTCCTAAGCATTTTATTTTTTATTTTTTGCAGCTGTTATGAAAGAGATTGAGTTTTTGATTTGATTCTCAGCTCGCTTGTTGTTGATATATAGTAGTGCTACTGATTTGTGTATATTGATTTCATTAATCAGGTCTAGGAGATTTTTGGATGAGCCTTTAGGGTTTTCTAGGTATAAGATCATATCATCAGTGAATAGCGACAGAATTTGCCACTACCAAACCAGCACAACAAGAAATGCTAAAAGGAGTTTTAAACCCTGAAACGTTTGATTTTAATATATGAAAATTTTGAGGGCCCAACTGGGAATAGTTTACTCTGGAGAGTTTTTATTTATTATTATTATTATTATTATTATTATTATTATTACTATTATTATTGAGACGGAGTCTGATTCTTTCGCCCAGGCTGGAGTGCAGTGGTTTTGGCTCATGGCAGCCTCCACCTCCTAGGTTCAAGTGATTCTCCTCCCTCAGCCTCTGGAGTAGCTGGAATTATAGGGGTGCACCACCTCACCTGGTTAATTTTTGTATTTTTACTAGAGACAGGGTTTCACCATCTCTAGTAAATGGTGAAAGATTGGCCAGGCTGGTCTCAAACTCCTTACCTCAGGTGATAGTCCTACCTCGGCTTCCAAAAGTGCTGGGATTAGAGGCGTGAGCCACTGCGCTGGCCTGCAGAGAATTTTCTACCAGGATCCAAGCGTATGATATGGATCAGGAATTATTTTACTTTATCCCTGTCTCCCAGACATAAAACGAAAGGCTCAGGTTCAGATTCTCTATCTTGTCAATGACTCAAAATTGGTCTCTAGATACCTGACATTGTCACATGACCTCAGTGTATCACTTTCTTATTTGCTTTCAGCTCTCATATCTGTGATCCACCTTCTTTGCTTAAATTTACTTTTGTGTTTGGAATTGATGATTACCTTCTGTGATGGTTAATTTTAGGTGTTAGCTTGACTAGGTTAAGAGGTCCTCAAATAGCTGGTGAAGTAATATTTCTGGGCATGTCTGTGAAGGTGTTTCTGGAAGAGATTGGTATTTGAATTAGGGGACCGAATAAGGAAGATCTGCCCTCACCAATTTGCATAGTATTATCCAATCCACTGAGGGCCCAAGTAGAACCAAAACATAGGAAGGGTAAATTTGCTTTCTCTTCTAGAGCTAGGACATCCATCTGCTCTTGTCCTTAAACATCTGATCTCTTGGTTCTTGGGTCTTCAAACTCCAGGACTTAAATTTAGCAACCCCTCTCTCCAACCCACCATGTTTCTCAGGCTTTTATACTAACACTGAAAAGACCGAATTACACCACGTGCTTCCCTGGTTCTGTACCTTGCAGACAGTATATTGTGGGACTTCTTGGCCTCCATAATTGTGGGAATCAGTTCCCACATTAAATCCCCTCTTATATGTACTATTAGTTCTGTTTCTCTGGAGAACCCTGACTAATACACCTTCCCTCCTGTGAGCCTAGTTTACTAGAATTTCATGAAAAGAAGGCTGAGCTATTGATACAGTTTCTTAACAGATTTCTATGTCATATCTCTTTCCTATCCAATTTCCATATCACTGTAGCCAGACTTGTTTATTTACTAGAAATTCCACTCTCTTCAGTATAGCGTTTCACAAACCATTGCTTTCCAAATAAAACTAAAATTCATAACTTGTTTACCACGTCCTCAGTAATGTGGTTCCCAAGAGTATTTCTAATGTCATCTATTAGCACTCAATGCACCTCTCTCTTTGTTTAGACATAGACTGTTTCCTTCAAGTTTTTTTTTTTCTTTTTTAGAGACAGAGTCTCATTGCCCAGGCTGGAATGCAGTCACATGATTATACATCACTGCAGCCTCGAACTCCTGTATTCAATCACTCTTCCTGCTTTGGCCTCTCAAAGTGCTGAGATTACAGACATGAGCTACTATGCCAGGTCTCCTTCACATCAGGTTCTTAAACATTTTATGTTGAATCTCGCTTCTAGGCACATATTCTTCTATTCTAGTTTGCCTTGATACGTAAGTGTCTATGAAATAGATTTTAAATGCAGTCTATGGTTTCCTTCAGTGGACAACATAGTCACTATGATATAAAAAACTTTAAATATTCCTTTATTTAAAATGTGTGATTTCTCATTTACATTTTTTGTTTTGGGTTCTCAAGTAAAAACCAGTAATTTAGCCTTATTGACAAGTAATAAATATATAGACAGGTAATATATACTAAACATATTATATATTATATGTCATATGTATGTAATCTAGCTTTCTTTCTATCTACATACACATACACACACACACACACACACACACACCCATACATGTGCACACAATTACAATGAACACTTGGACTGTGGCATAATATATTTGATCTTTTGGGCTATGAATGCAGTGAATGTGAATTGCTGTTTCAGTTGTTGTCAGTATCAATTGTTAAAATGGTTAAAATGATTGATCATCACATATGAAGAGAAACTGACATTTTTAGTGTGTCTCTAATTCAGACTGTGGGAACTTAACAAAAGGAAATTGAAGCTGCAAAACCTTTTTAAAGTTGGAAACACACACACACTAGTCTCTGTTTTTATGCACAATAATGGATATCCCCTTAGGCTAAACTTACTAAAGCTGTCATCATAATAGTAATAGACTCACAATGGACTTTAAGAGCTTGCTTGGTGAATCTAACAGGAAAGAAGAGCTCTTCATTACTGAAGGTGTATGTGACAGCTCTTTGTTCTCTTGCAGCTGGTGGATTTGCTCTACACTTTGCAGCAGGACAATAGAGCTCCTATGAAGAAGTGGTTCTGTTTTTATTTTCTAACCTCATTTCCTTTTGTGATTTCCACCTGACAGTCAAGCAAGTCAAAACAAAACAAACAAAAAAACCCAAGTCACCATCAATGCAGCAGAAAAGGAAAAGGGAGGCTAATGTTACCCTAAAGCGCTATTGCAAGCACAAAGAAAGCATAATTCCATGTCATGGATATAGCCTGGAATGACACACTCACATGAATTACCTCTTTGAGTTTTTGACAGAGGAGAACAGAAAGTAGCTAATGAAGTCACAAGAGGCTTTGGGAGTTCAACTCATGAAACTCTTGATATTATGACAGTGTTAAGACATGTCAGTCTTACTATTTCACCCACAATATGAAACATATTTGTGACCTCAAGGGAAAATATGACATTTGAAAAATTATAAATTGAAATGCGTTCTTATACCCGTACCACAACTTTCCTATCCGAACATGTATTTGGTTGTCCTTTATTTTAGAAGTGTCAAATTTTAGCGCAGTCAATAATTTATGTTACATTATTTTGTTTTTTTTTAGTATATACAATTTAGACATCTTTGTTCTAAACACAATATAAAATAAGTACTTCTTGGATGAAAAATAAGATTAAAACTTAATTTGTAAGATATCACGTAAACTCTACCGATTTGCCATTGTCCTGTGAATTCAAAGCACAGATCTTGATGCAGTATTAGTAACAACTTATGTCAATTTACAGATTTCCTGGGCTCTTCAACAATGGGACCAAAATCAGTTCTTGTTTCCAGTGCTAACTTTGAAATATGGAAGAAGGCTTACTCACTTACCTTGTGACTTTTGGAGGAAAACAGAAAAACATCTCTACTAAAATATATCTCTCATTATGTTATCGATACCTGAAATACCAACATGGAATTAGAACTAGCCTCAGAGGAGCTTTCTGTGAGTGAAACAGTTACTCTAGAACAACTGGATTCACTGCACAAGGAGGGCAAGCACTTAATATGTGATGTACATTGACCTAGGCATTGAGAAATTAGTAAGTAGCCCACTGGGAAGATGTATGCAATTATAGCAAAGCTAGAGAAAACAAAGGTAATGGAAGAAAATAGTGGAAAGCAATTGAAGGTAAATTCACTGATTATACAACCAAGAGTCATACTGACTTTGAGGAATTAGCTCAAAAGCAAAATGAAACGGTTGGGAAAGTGAGAGCACTTTTGGAGTTTCTGAATAGAAAAAAAGTTTTTTTCAGATTCTATAGATAACTACAAGTAGAGATTAACACCAAGAAGTTTAGATGGGAGAAAGAAACACAAATGAATATACTAAGAGTTGATGTAGAAAGGAACCAGAATTTATAAGGAGATAATTCAATCAAATAATATCCGAAAAAAGAATCCTTGTTCTCTCTTCTCAGAGTGTCATGGTGGAAAGAGCTTTGATTTTGGATTTAGAACAACGTGGATCAGAATCCTGAATTTGTCTCTTATTAGTCATTTGGTACTGGAAAGATGTTAACTTTATCAATCTGTTTCCTCATTTCTACCAGGGAGTAATACCAGCCTATATCTATTTTTGTAAAGATTCAGCATATTAAAATCTTCATTACAAGGCCATATTTCTATAAATTACTGATATGTAATAGAGGTAACACTGCATATCAGTGGAGAAAAAAAGTGGTTATTTAAAAAGTAGAAAAAAAAAGAGAAAATTGCACACTGACCTTATTACCACACACAAAACATCATTTCAGACCGATTAAAAGCCTCCGTGTGAAAGACAAACCAAAATGGTTTTCAGAAAAAATATGGAATAACATTTCCATGACTCTTGGGGTAAAGATTTCTCAAACAAGATATAAGATGAATTAACCACAACACATTGCTTGAGAAGTTATATTACATTAAAACTAAGAGCTTATGTTTATCAAAAGATAACTCTACACATCCATCAAATTGACAAAAATTTAAAGGTTGGACAATAACACATGGTGTGGATATGAAGCTATGGAAACTTTCACACATTCTTGGTGGAAGTATATATTGCCAATTGCTTTAGAAAACAGTTAGCATTATCTAACAAAGACAAAACTATGCAAACTCTATGACCTGAGGTTTGTATTCCAGAGAAGCTTATGCAAGTATTCATCAAAATCTATGTGCAAAAATGCTCAGAGTGACATTTTTATATAGCTAAAAGCCAGAGAAACAGCCCAAATGTATATAAATAGACACATAAATTGTAGGATAGTGAATAATTTACAAAAGTGAAAGTGACCAAATTATTTCTACATGCAAAACCATGGATAAATCTTTAGAGCAAAATGTTGTGTACAAGATGACAAACTTAAAAATATGTAGATGGAATGATTTAAATCATGAACATTTCCAGAACAAGCAAAGCTAAATGGTCTTACTTAAGGATATGTGAATAGGTAGCAAAAAATGGAAAGAAGAAATTATCTCAAAATCAGGATCAGTTATGGCTGTGATCACAAAGGAGCACACAAAGGGTTCTAGAGTACTGGCAATATGATTTTGTTTATCATTGGTGAATAATCTGGCTCAAATTTATCTTGTTGTGTTTATAAGAAAAAATTCAATGTGGTATTTTATACAATTTTAAGTTAGCAGCCCTCCAATATTAATGTGCTTCTATAATAGACATTCATATCTGTGGTGTATATTCTCTATTTTTTCTTCTATATCCACCCTCCACCCTTGTCCATCTTGAGAGGCTAACCTTTTTAGAATCATAGTGGTCTCTCTTGTCCTCCAGGTTCGAGTGGTTTTGACTAATGAAAGTTACCAGCAGAAATGAGGGCAAGCTCAAGGTACTTTTTCCTCTACCTTTCTAGTATTGCAAGCTCCTAATAAGTAGTCCTATCCTACAACTATGTTAATTTTCCTCTTTCTGGTTACATGCTGTTTCCTTCCCTTGTTATGGGAACCAGTAATGACACTCTGTTTTTATTTCCAAAATATTGCCTCATTCCTTACTGGTTTTCCTTAATCCTGCTCACACCATTATTAATAGACCCTCTACTCAATCCTGTATTTGAATGTGGTGTCTGTTTCTCACCAGTTTCCTACTGATACAATGCCCTTTTCCTTCTTCATGATCTGATCAAAATGAAAAAGTGTCCCTAATCACTTTAGCTGAAACTTCATATTTTAATAATACACATTGTTGGCATCTTTTGCTTTTCTAATTAAATATTTCCTCTATTTTTTATTTTATTCATAAGATCATATGCATCTTGAGAGCAGGATAATCTCATGGCCCTATTTCACACCATTTTGTTCATGACATGGCATTCAAAAAACACTCTGAACACGTTTTGTTTCTATCTTTTAATAAAGCTATAAATTGATTTGACAGTAATGTCTATGCATTACTTCTATACATGATATAGAAGTTAAGTTCATATACTTGCTGACTGGTTAATCCATTATATTTAACCAATATAATTTGATTTGGCAAATAAAGCTAATGATTTTCATAAATACAAAAGTTCCTCAAGTCTATTACTTAATAGATAAGGCAGAATTTTCCTTAGTGATTCTTTCATCTGTATTATTAAATGTTTATGTTTATGTGTTGTAACAGAATAATGCTATTCGTCATCATTTACATGCTATTACAAGAACATTATTATACTTATTCATATTATAGAAAATTAGAAGATTTTAACTGTGTATAACTTAATATTCCATTGTGAAAAGAAAATGATATTAATATTTCCATTATTTTATCAGGATATAATCAGCTAACATTGTCACATAAGCCCACATAGTATCCAATACTGTAGCAGCACAGAAATGGGTTTTATTTCCACTATATTAGGTATTGAATAAAACTGCATGTTGGGACTTTTAAATTAACTTTTAATGTTACTTTAATGAGGCAGAATTTCTGCCAATCCAGTCCCCAAGGCAATATTATTTAGCAGTACTTTGTGTTTTAGTTTTATATTTTCAGGAATGCCACACTACCATGGGGACTTATTAGATGCAGTCTGGTTTGTTCAATAGACCTTCTTTCCTATATTAAGGCAGTCTAACAGGGAAGAAGAGAAGCAGATGATAAGCTGGTGACTGTACCTGCTGAATGTACATATTGCTATTATTTGCAATTATGTATATTTATTTGATTTTTGTCCTTATATTTCAATCAAGTTTATAAATTAATTGGTCATGATGTCTATGTCTTCAATTTTTAAACTTTCTCTTGAATAGGTGTAAACTTATATTATGGGGAAGATAATATTGATTTGTGACCTTCTACTATGGCTACCACCTACTTTTCAATCTTACTCTGTATCTATTGTAATATAGTAGGAGTAATATAACAATTTTTTAAATTCTTGATGAAAAACTTTACATTTATACAACTGATTATAATGTTTTCATGTGTTTCTGTGAATATGAGTATAAATTTAAAAATAATAAAATGATAATCTGAGGAATAGCACTAAAAAGATAGGAAATTTGCCACAGCCTATCTTCTGAAATTTTGAATTCTACTTTAATTTTTTTTTAACTTTTAATTTCAGGGGTACAAGTGCAGGTTTGTTACATAGGTAAACTTGTGTCGTGGGGGTTGTTATACAGATTATTTCATCACCCAGGTATTAAGCCTAGTACCCATTAGTTGTTTTCCTGATTATCTCCCTCCTCCCCAACTCCACCCTCCAAAACTCCCCAGGGTGTTTTGTTCCCCGCTATGTGTCCATGTGTTCTCGTCATTTAGCTCCCACTTATTAATATGCACATGCGCTATTTGGTTTTCTGTTCTTGTGTTAGTTTGCTAAGGATAATGGCCTCCAGCTTCATCCATGTCCGTGCAAAGGACATGATGTGCTTCTTTATTATGGCTGCATAGTATTCCATGGTGTATGTGAGCCACATTTTCTTTATCCAATCTGTCATTTATGGGCATTTGGGTTGATTAGATGTCATTGCTCTTGTGAATAGTGCTGCAATGAACATAAACATGCATATGTCTTTATAATGGAATGATTTATATTCCTTTGGGTATATACCCAGTAATGGGATTTCTGGGTTAAATGGTAATTCTGGCTTTAGGTCCTTGAGGAGTTGCCACACTGTCTTCCACATGGTTTGAACTAATTTACATTCTCACCAACAGTGTAAAAGCATTCATTTTTCTCTACAACCTTGCTAACATCTGTTATTTTTTGACTTTTTAATAATAGCTATTCTGATTGCTGTTGGATGGTATCTCATTGTGGTTTGGATTTGCATTTCTCTAATGATCAGTGATGTTGAGCTTTTTTTTTCATGATAGTTGGCCACATGTATGTTTTCTTTTGAAAAGTGTCTGTTCGTTTACTTTGCCTATATTTATGGGGCCATTTTTTTTCTTTTAAATTTGTTTAAGTTCCTTATGGATGCTAGATATTAGACCTTTGTCAGATGCATAGTTTGCAAAAATGTTCTCCCATTCTGTAGGTTGTCTGTTTACTCTACTGATAGTTTCCTTTGCTGTGCAGAGCTTTTTAGTTTAATTAGATCCCATTTTCCAATTTTGCTTTTGTTGCAATTGCTTTTGGCATCTTCATCATGAAATCTTTGCCTGGGCCTATGTCCTGAATCATATTGCTTAGGTTGTCTTCCAGGGTTTTACATTTAAGTCTTTAATCCATCTTGGGTTGATTTTTGTATATGGTGTAAGGAAGGCATCCAGTTTCAGTCTTCTGCATACGGCTAGCCAGTTATCCCAGCACCATTACTGAACAAGGAATCCTTTCTCCATTGCTTTTATCAAGTTTGTCGAAGATCAGATAGTTGTAGGTGTGTGGTCTTATTTCTGGGTTCTCTTTTCTGTTCCATTTGTCTATGTATCTCTTCTTGTACCAGTACCATGCTATTTTGGTTACCATAGCCCTGTAGTATAGTTTGAAGTCAGGTAGCATGATGCCTCCAGCTTTGCTCTTTTTGCTTAGGATTGCCTTGGCTATTCGATCTCTTTTTTGGTTTCATATGAATTTTAAAATAATTTTTTCCAGTTCTGTTAGGAATGTCAATGGTAGTTTAATGGGAATAGCATTGAATCTATTAATTGCTTTGGGCATTATGGCCATTTTTGTGATATTGATTCTTCCTATCCAAGGGCATGGAATGTCTTTCTATTTCTTTGTGTTATCTCTGATTTCTTTGAGTGGTGGTTTGTAATTCTCTTGTAGAGATCTTTTACCTTCCTAATTAGCTTATATTTCTAAATATTTTATTCTTTTATTTTTGTAGCAATCGTGAATGGGAGCTCATTTGTGATTTGGTTCTTGGCTTGATTGTTGTTAGTGTATAAGGGATCCTAGTGATTTTTGCACATTAATTTTGTATCCTAAAATTTTGCTGAAGTTACTCATCAACTTAAGAAGCTTTTGAGCTGAGACAATGGGGTTTTCTAGATAGAGGATCATGTCATCTACAAATAGGGATAGTCTGATTTTCTCTCTTCCTATTTGAATGTCCTTTATTTCTTCCTCTTGCCTGATTAAAGTTCCAGTACTATGTTAAACAGGAGTGGTGAGAGAGGGCATCCTTCTCTTGAGTCAGGTTTCAAGGGAAATGCTTCCAGCTTTTGCCCATTCAGTATGATGTTGGCTGTGGGTTTGTCATATATGTCTCGTCATTTTGAGGTATGTTCCTTCAATACCTAGTTTATTAAAAGTTTTTAACATGAATGGATGTTAAATTTTATTGAAAGCCTTTTCTGCATCTATTGAGATAATCATGTAGTTTTTGTTTTCATTTCTGATTATGTGATGAATTACATTTATTGATTTGCATATGTTGAACCACCTTGCATCCCAGCAATGAAGCCTACTTGATCATGGTGGATAAGCTTTTTGATGTGCTGCCTGATTTGGTTTGCCAGTATTTTATTGAGGATTTTTGCATCAATGTTCATCAAGGATATTGGCCTGAAGGTTTGTTGTTGTTGTATCTCTGCCAGGTTTTGGTATTAGGATAATGCTGGCCTAAGAAAATGAGTTAGAGAGGAGTCCCTTCTTTTTAATTTTTTGGAATAGTTTCAGTAGGAATGGTACACATTCTTTACTGTACATCTGGTAGAATTCAGCTGTGAATCCATCTGGTCCTGGCCTTTTATTGTTTGGTTGATAGACTATTTATTACTGCTTCAATTTCAGGACTCATTAATGGTCTCTTCAGAAATTCAATTTCTTCCTGGTTCAGTCTTGGGAGAGTGTATGTGTCCAGGAATGTATCTATTTCTTCTAGAGTTTCTAGTTTATGTGCATAGAAGGGTTTATAATATTCTCCAAAGGCTAGCAAAAGACAAGAAATAACCAAAATCAGAACTGATCTGGAGGAGATGGAGACATGAAAACCATTCAAAAGAACAAAGAATCCAGGAGCTTGCTTTTTGAAAAATAAATAAATAAATAGGGTGCTAGATAGACTAATAAAGAAAAAAAGAGAGAAGATTCAAATAAACACAATCAGAAATGATAGGAGGATATTATGACTGATCCACAGAAATACAAAATTCCACTTTAAAAATACCACCTTTTATTATGATTTATTCAAATTTCTCATGCACTGATTAACTTCTAAAAATTTTTTATTTCCATAGGTTTTTTGGGACAGGTGGTGTTTGGTTACATAAGTAAGCTCTTCAGTGGTGATTTGTGAGATGTTGGTGTACCCATTACCCAAGCAGTATATACTGAACCCAATTTATAGTCCTTTGTCCCTCACTGCCCCCCACCCTTTCCCTTAAGTCTCCGAAGTCCATTGTGTCATTCTTATGCCTTTGCATCTTCATAGCTTAGCTCCCACTTATGAGTGAGAACAATACAGTGTTTGGTTTTCCATTCTTGAGTTACTTCACTTACAATAATAGTCTCCAGTTCCATCCAGGTTGCTGCAAATGCCATTAATTCATTACCTTTTATGGCTGAGTAGTATTCCATCATATATATATATATATATAGTATCATATATATAGTACCATATATATATAGTATCATATATATAGTATCATATATAGTATCATATATGTATATATAGTATCATATATAGTATCATATATATGTGTGTATATGTGTATATATATACATATATGATACTATATATAGTATATATGTGTGTATATATATACACATATATATGTATATATGTATACATATATACATATGTGTGTGTGTGTGTGTATATATATATATATATATATATATAGTATCTCTGCCAGGTTTTGGTATTAGGAAAATGCTGGCCTAATAAAATGAGTTAGGGAGGAGTCCTTTCTTTTTAATTTTTTTGGAATAATTTCAGTAGGAATTGTACACATTCTTTATTGTACATCTGGTAGAATTCAGCTGTGAATCCTTCTGGTCCTGGCCTTTTATTGTAGTCCTTTATACCATATATATATATATATATATATATATATATATATATATATATATATGGTACATATATATATGGTGTGTGTGTATATATATATATATGGTGTGTGTGTATATATATATATGGTGTGTATATATATGTGGTGTGTATATATATGGTGTGTATATATATGCGGTGTGTATATATATGTGGCATATATATATATATATATGTGGCATATATATATATATATATATATATATATATATATGGCATATATATATACACACCACAATTTCTTTATCCACTTGTTGATTGATGGGCAATTGGGCTGGTTCCATATTTTTGCAATTGCAAATTGTGCTGCTATAAATATTCATGTGCAAGTATCTTTTTCGTATAATGACTTCTTTTCCTCTGGGTAGATACCAGATAGTGGGATTGGTGGATCAAATGATAGTTCCACTTTCAGTTCTTTAAATAATCTCCACACTGTTTTCCATAGTGGTTGTACTAGTTTACATTCCCACCAGCTATGTAGAAGACTTTCATTTTCATTGCATCCATGCCAACATCTATTATTTTTTGATGTATTGATTATGGCCATTCTTGCAGGAGTAAGGTGATATCTCATGGTGGTTTTGATTTGCATTTCCCTGATCATTAGTGATGTTGAGCATTTTTTTCTTATGTTTATTGGTTCTAATTTCATTGTGAAAACAGCCAATTCCCACTTCTATCCCTGAGCCAAATACATCATAGCTAAGGAAGAAAAACTACATTCCTCTAAGCTAAAGACATAACAATTCTCTGATTAGTGAATTCAATGAGTGATGCAGAGGGAATCATGAACACCAGAGGGATCACATGCATTTTATATTGGTGGTCAGATGTTGCACTTCTCAGTTGGTCTGTGCGTCCTGGAATGTGAGCTGGAGTGAAAGATGTGAAAACAAAGTGGAATATTGACAAGTCATGTAGCTCTCAAACCTGTCAGAATCTGGCATATTTTCTTATAATCCTTTCAATGTGAAGGCACAGGTTATCACAATAATGTGCTAATATTGTTTTAAAGTAGTCAGTAATGGGTATTTCCAAGTGAGTGTTTAAGGGAAAAACAGCAGTCAAACTCCTAAGATAACAAGAAATGCTAACGTTCTTAACTAGGAACCATGGAACTTAGTTTCTTTTGTCAACTTACTCTCTTTTTTTTAACTTAAAAAAATTAATTGACTTTTTTAAGGTAGTTCACTTTTCAAGGCCTTTTGTTCTAAAAAGACTAATAGGAGGCAATATATTTCTCATCTGTTTCATGAGTGTTGCAAAGAATAATGAATAATGTGAAATAATATATTCATTAATTTGAAGAACAGAGCTTTATTAGTGCATAATTTCTGTTTTTTCCTTGCTTCATTGCCCATAACTAGCAAGATAGTGAAGGGTAAATTTATTAGGTTGAAAATAAAAATCAACTTTGCCTATTTAAAAAGAATATCATATATTTATTTTTATGTCATTGTAAAATAATATTATACAAGTTTCTAAATATTTCGACAAAACAACTTTCTAAGCATAGTTATTATTTCTATTTTAGTTTTTATACGTAACATTTATCTATTCAGCAAACAATCTCCAAATTATTTATTTAGCTGGTGATTTTGCTAGTCAGCCAAGAGTGTACACTGCCCTCATCAGGGAGATTTACCCAGTCTTATCTGGGCTGCCTTATGCATCTGCTGCCATCCTCTATGTTAGTTACATAGCTCTGCTTTTGGGGTGTGCTGTCTATTGGTTGGGGCACCTTGCTCTCCTCTCTCATCATCTAAGCAGGCCAATTAGGGCATCCATTCATGGTAGCTGGGCAGGTTTCCAAAAGGCAGAAACATGTGAGGCACCTTGAGAGATAGGCTCAGAACGGTCCCAGTGTTACCTCCTCCACATTCTATTCACCAAAGACTTAAAAGGCTGAGACACACTTTCCACGTCTTCCTGGGAATAGCTACAACATTGCATTGCAAGGGCATAGATAGTGCGGGGGGAATAATTGAGGCCAATTTTGCAATCAAACACTCCACCGTATTATGATACATTTAAGGTCTTAAAAACAGGTTCTTTATTCATATGACAAATAAGAGAATACCCACATCCCCTCTTGTTGGATATACAAACAGATTATCTATCCTAGTCTTCCTTGAAGTTAGGTATGATCATGTGAAATCTGAGTGAAAGTGATACGTGCCATGCTTAGGTCTGGTCCATATAAATTGTTCACATGTGATCATCTATTCTTGTTTTCTGCCTACTGCTGAATGGAATAACTGAGCTCTAGCTCAGGAGAATGTAGAGACCAAATATGGAAGATGCCTGGGCCCCTAAATGACTGCACAGAAACATCTATATACCAACCAGAAAGCATGATTGTGCTTTATGTGAAAGAGAAATAAGTGTCTATGTGTTAATACACTGAAATTTAGGAGATGATCTGTTACAGCAGCTGATATTACTTCTCTTCATCTATGTAATTTTGTTATACGCAAATATTGGTACCCAGGATTCATTCTTTATTGGCATCGGTTTTAAATGGCTCTGTTAATATCTATTGGACTGTTTACTTAAAGAATTAGTACTGAAAGAAGAGCTACATCTGAAACCCTACAAAGATTAGTGTTAAAGGCAATTAGCAATGCAGTTTACTAATCAAGACATTTGCTTCCATATGCTAGGGCTGATGAGGGATTTCATTTTTCCTTATAATGTTTATATATTTTGCCTTAAAGATTAAACAATTGCCTTCTTTTATGTTTTTATGTTTCTCTGTTATTTACTGTTATAAATCAAATATTAATGTGCCCTAAATCATTGGTTTTCATCTTTTTTCTTGCATAAATTAATACTGGAAGAGTAAAATCCCCAAAGGGATGCCTGGTCCACGTGTTTCTGCTTCCTGGAGGCAAGAAAGTGTCAATAGATTAATGGAAGCCATTAATAAAATACCAATTAAGTATTACCCAATTTTATTAAAAGTCAAAATTTAAATATTAACTTATTTCTTAAAAAATAGACACATAATCATTTTATAAATATTTATATAATTATATAAATTATAATTATATAATTTATGTAATCATTTTATACATATTTATAGATTAAGTTTAGTTCACAGACCCTTGAGGGAACCTGGAGGCAATATCGGTAATTTCTGACATTAAGAATTTCCTCTCTCAATCATAAATTAGAAATAAAACAATACTATTAAAGGTAGCAACAATTATACCTTTGAAGCTTTACATATTTCAAAGGAGTTTACAGTGAAATTTAATTTTCTATGTCTCTGTTAACACTTAACCTATGCGTCAGAGGTTGACTTAGGGAAAAATCTTTCATTTTACATTGTATTTGCAAATAAATCTAATAATAAAAGACTTCGAACTATTTGTGAAATCTGAAAGTGTTAACAGAATTAATTCCACTTGAAGATTTAGTATGAAATCTCTCACTAGAAAAAATTTGGTTATTTTTTACATCTTGCCAGTAGGACTATAAGTTTATTAGACATAAAAAGGAAAAAGTAACAATGTCTATTGTTTGTAAAAAGTTCAATCAATCCATCCATGGGGCAATTTTACAATTATTTGGTGTGCTCTCTTCCATAGAAAGCACGATGTCCACTGGCTTTTTCCAATAAATGAACAATGGAATTTAATACAAATGAATGCAAGAGATAATTCCAATTATATTTGAATTGTCTTACATCCTTTGGATACAGCTATCATCATTTCAGTACTATCAGAATTTCATCATATTGTGTCTAAACAGCCTGAATTCAATTATACGTCTTAACCTTTGGACTTGTTTTTACCCCACATGCTGCCTGAGACTACATGTGAGGTTTTGTGACAATGAACTTTTGGTGGGGGAGTTTTCTCTGGTTTTCTAAACTTGAAATAAGTGGTTTCTTCTTTCCTCCTTAACTGTTAACTATGAACGTTTTATTTTCAAATATTTTTAGATTTATAAAAGTGTAAAAAGATAATAGAGCTTCCATGTGTCCTACACTTGGTCTCTCCTATTACCATCTTACCACGGTATAGTATATTTGACACCATAGAAATTAAGGAACTCACATAAATATATATGCATTCACTAAAGTCAATACTTCATTTATATTTTCCTAGTTTTTACTTGAAGTCTTTTTATTATTCCAAAATTCCAGCCGGGATTTCATATGACATTTAGTCATCATGTCTCCTTAGGCTTCTCTTAAGTGTGACAGCTTCTCAGACTTGCTTTGTTTTTGATAACCTTGACAGTTTTGAGGGCTACTAGTCAAATATTTTGTAGAGTGTCCTTTACGAGGCATTTGTCTAATTTTTTTTCTCATGATTAGATTGAGATTATGAGTTTTGTGGATGAAGACCACAGAGGTAAAAGTCATTCTTATATCATAGGAAGGGCTGCATCCTATCAATGTGACTTATCACTATTGATGTTGATGTTCATCACCTGGCTGAGGTAATGCTATTCAGATTTTTCAAATTTAAAGTTATTCTCCTCTCGCCCTCCATTTAGTACTCTTTGGAAAAAAAGTCACTGTGCAACCATTAAACATAATTTTCATAATTATTTTTAATGTGGGTCTATCTGTTTAAAAATTATTTTAAGTAGTAGAACTACATATAAGAGTCCCTATTCTAATTTTATTTAGGTTATTTTCCAGGATTCCTTCTATTTCTGTATACCTATTATATAGTCATAGTAACAGGTTTTGTCTACATTGTTCCACAATAGTGGATATAAAGTAAATATGTATGTGCTTCAAAATCCACAAATATGTGATCAAGAAGATAGTGTTCTGTTGAAAGTTTAGTTTTGGCTCAGGATGTGCCAGAGAATAAGTGAGTGGGCCAGGATTTATTGATTTTTTACTTGCTGGAATTATGCGGTTGTGAAGGTCTTAAATAGGACATAGCAATGAAAGAGAGGTACAAGATACTCCATCTCATTTTTTTTGATGCGTTATGTGTGTAAATATAAGAAAGTTTTGAAAGCTGCTTCAAGGTTAGTGACTTAGTGAACTATAAAACAACCTGCTCAAAGACAAAGAGCAGTGAGATAAGAACCCAGGAACCATGAAAAAATATGGTGGGAATGTTGAACGTATTTTTTAAACAACTCATTTTATTAGACTAGAAGTTCAAGAGCAGTGTATGCTTTCCAGTGGAGAATACGGAACTTACAAGTCTAGGCCTCTTGTCCTCTAAAGACTAGAAATATGGTAGGTTTCTTCAGTTACAAGGCAACAGCTCGGTTTTCCAATTGCCAGATTGAAATACAATTTTGAATTAAAAAAATAATCAATTATAGAAATACACAGTAGAAGATGCCTGGTTTTGCAGAATAAAACCCCTCATATTTTTGTTAACCACAAGTTCAATATGTATCAGTATTGTGAAATAGCTGGTAGAATTTAGTGTAAGTTAGACAACATTAACAGATGAATAATAGTCCCCTGTCTTGAGTCTGCACTAGTCAAACCATACCTGAAGCTCTTCTTAGTTCAATATGTCACATCATTAATAGTAATAATGACAATGATGATAATAGTATATTATTATACCTGTAAGGCACTTAAAAGTATAAAATTTACTTTCAAATGTATTATCCCATTTTAGCACAGATCTTGACAAAATTTTATGCATCTATGGACCTACGAAGACATGATAAAATAAGTGTTGTGGAGAAAAAAATTTAAAAGATTTAGGCAGTTTGTTTTTTAAAGTGTGGTTTAAAACGACCCATTCATGGAATTGCAAGATCAAAAGCATTTTCATAATAGAAGATATTATTATTAGCCTTTTTCAGTGTATTGACACTTGCGGTGTGGTACAAAAGTAACAGTGAGTAAAGTGCCTAATGTTTTTGCTTGAATAAAAGCAGTGGTAACAAAATGTACTAACAGTCATTGTATTCTTTACAGTCAAGGACTCACAGGAAGTGGTAAAAAGGCCAGTTTTGTTTAAGAATGTCATTGATGGCACGATAATATTAATTGTATTAAATATCAACTCTTTGAGTGAATGTCTTTCTCATATTCTGTATGATGAAATGGGAAGTACACATAAAGCATTTCTACAGCATACTAAAGTGAACCAATGTTTTCCAAATGAACAATGTATGATATTTTAAAATTTTAACATTATGGGTAAAAGATCTACTCAAAATGCAAGTTAGACCAATGAATTGTAATGAGACAATAAAAAAAGTTTATCAATACAATTTTGGGTTTCACATTGCAACCTTTATGAAACTATTAGCCAAATTTGGATGTGGTATCAAAGACTAAGATCCACAATTACCTGAAAAGGCAATTAAAATACACTTTTCTCTTTTCAGCTACATATTTGTGTGCAGCAAGATCTTCATCAAAATAATTTACAGTAGATTGAAGGCAGAGAAGATATGAAAAATGAAAATCCAACCATCTGAAGACATTGAAAGAATTTGTAAAAAATGTAAAACAGTAACATTCTTCTCATGAATTTATTTTTAGAATATATAATTTCCCATATTTAAAAGTAGGCTAGTTATGTTAACAAGTAACAGGATATTCATGTTATTTTATATAAATAAATAATCAAATATGTTAAAATGTATCAGTAATAATTTTTAATATGGTGAATGTCAGTACATATAACTCATATACACAAAAGCTCTTTGAGGTTCTCAGCAATGGATTATAAAGAAATTCCTGTTACTAAAATGCTTGAGAACTCCTTGCTGAAGAAAATCTAATAAATGAACAATGAGACAAGAAGGTAGCTGTCATAAAGTGTTTGAGATAATAACTTGGACCTCTTTTGTTTTTACCTTCTCAGCATCTAATTCTTTTTTTTTTTCTTTGATAGAAGCACTCCACTTTTGCTTTGAACAGCCATACTGCTTCTCTGTTTTAATTAGGGTTTATCTTAATTCCTAGCTGAGAGATAGACATTCTATCTAGGCATAGTAAATAAGTATACTCTATAAGCCCATCTCCTCATCTCTCAGCCAGAGTGATTAATCAAAAATAGACATAAGCCAATGAGATTCAATTCTTAGACTTTTTAAGGAAACCTTGGAAAAGCGGCAGGTTCTTTTTGTTGGGGTTGATAAGCCAATAGGCTTTTTGCTAGAAGTGTTGTTGGCAACATTGTCAACATTTGGAGACATCTTTCTCAGAATGAAAGCATTGCAGAGGAAAATAGAGAGATAGTGTGAAACATAACTTTAATTCCATCATTTTTGAAACAATTCCAAGCCATGTCAATTTTGTGAGGCAGTAAATTTCTTGTTTGCAAAAATGTGCTTGAGATGGATTTTTCTCACTTACATCTGTAAAGATCCTATTGAGTATTCCTCCAGAAAGAATAAGAATCATGATTAAACAACTATATTCTTAATTTAAGTAAGAATTTCTGACAATCAGTATTTTACCAGCCATGGTTCAAATTGCCTCATGGTATTATGTAATTTTTTTTTTTTTTTAGATGGAATCTTGTTCTGTCGCCCAGGCTGGAGTGCAGTGGCATGATCTCAGCTCACTGCAACCTCTGCCTCCTGGGTTCAAGAGATTCTCCTGTCTCAGCCTCCCAAGTAGCTGAGATTACAGGTGCGCGACACCATGCCTGACTAATTTTTCTATTTTTAATAGAGACAGAATTTCACCATGTTGACTGGGCTGGTCTCAAACTCCTGACCTCAGGTGATCCACCAGCCTCGGCCTCCCAAAGTGCTGGGATTACAGGCGTGAGCCACCACGCCTGGCGTGTATTAGGTAATTTTTGAGTTGGAAGAAAATTTGGAAAATAAAGGGCTCAACACCTTTGTTTTAAAAGTAAAGAAACTGTAATTCAAGTTTTTCATGTTATTTCTATATCCCTAATTAGTGGTAAAGAAAAAAATGATTTCATTGTTACTATACACATGTATAAACATCCAATGACAGTGTTTCAGTGACTGTACAGATCTAAAGCATTCCAAAAAATGCTGGTAGGCTGAGCCATATGAGTTTTAGAGACCTATATAATTTCAAGATTATACAAGTAATAGTAAAGAAGACTAAATAAAGTAGAGAGTTAAAGGAATTATGGCAAAGCCTATAATTGAAAATTAAAATATAATGATCATATTTAAGCAGTCAATTTTGACTCAGATCTATACAATCTTGCCTTCATATTATTTCTCTTGGTCATTAAAAATTCAGTTCTAGGGATTATTCATAAGAAAATGTTTAGATTATAATCTCTGTGTGTGTGTGTTTGTCTGTGTGTGTGTGTGTTTGTTCCAGGTTTAATATAACATACATTGTAATGCACTTTTAGCAAATGTAGCAGTTTCCTTGAATTTATACTCTATATTGAACTATTTTCCAATACATAAGATTTTTTAGGTAGAAATCTAGGAATTACTTATTTCATTCTGTTAGTTTAATGTGGATTGCGTTTAAATCAACACCAGTTTAATTCCGATTGTGTTGTGCATATGTAAATGAGTCATACCATTACTGGATTGAAATATACAGTAGCTTGAGTACTTTGCCTATTCATGCACCACAGAATGGTATTACAGCACATATTATATTATTTATATTCTATTGCCTTGCATTTTTTCTTTTAGGCACCTCTGATTTGAATATAATTTTCTTTAAATTACAAAGGAATTAATTCATCTTTTGACAAATACACTTTATTCTTCCTAGATATTGATCATTTCAGTTATTCCAATTGAATTTTCACTAAATTAACTTCAGTCTCTTGAAAGGAAGGGCCTTAGATTCTTTATAAAAGTCCAGTATAGACAATTTTTCTATTCACTAAAATATGACATTCTGCAAATACATGTATGCTAATCTACAAAAAGAGCAAATGAATTTCCTATTTGAAAACATAAGAAACATAACAAATTTAATGAAATGCAAAAAATAAGGCTAAATACCTTAGGGCACAAATTTAATTTATTTCAGGTTTACCCAGCAGTGCTACAATTCTATTGACGAAAGGTGAAGCTCAACTTTGAAGATACAGTTATAGTAAATAAAATTGAGAAAAGAAAAAAAAAGCCAAGTGAAGAGGAGACAGGGTGAAAAAACGCCAGTAATTCTATGTATTTGGCTATCTCCTCATTTATAGTAATGGTTCTCAAACTTAGAAATCATTTGAGGGTCATATTAAATATTCAATTACATGGGCTGTATAAACAAACATTCTGACTCAGTGTGCTATGGTGAGAGCATGGGAATCTGTGTTTTTGACAAACATACTTGGGAATTCTGATGGAGAAATTTCAATGTTACATCGGCAAAACAAATTTCTATAGTTCATATATGAACTCCAATTGAATCATATAAATTACATAAATTAGTATTCTAAGTTTCAAAAAGGTAGTAAAAGATATTCAAGAAATAATTGTCTAGCTGAATGTCAATTCTATGTGCTCGATTTGCCAAATTCTTCAGTGGAAAATAGAAGAAATAAACAAAACAAAATAAAATGAATGAGAGACAGAAAGACACTCCTTTGCTTAAAAAACAGGGTGAAACATGAAACACCTTTTTCTCATCTTAGTGACTTCTGTCTAATACTAAATCCCTTATAAATTGCAGTTGTACTGTAATTGATTTCATTCTTAGCAAAATATCAAATCCTCTTGGGGAAAAACAAAGAAAAGTGAGATTAGCTAAGGAAACAGGAAAAAAAATTCTATTTCAATGATTAAAATTTACGCCTCAGGAATTAAGCAAGCTTGATGCTTTCCTGGATTTACAGCATTTCATTTGTTACTGCCATTAGCTTTAACTGCTTTGGGAAAATTTAACAACAGAGCTATAGCATGGCTTACAACCATCATGAGCTTCAAAGTTTCAAGAGCATGCGAAACATTTCCTTGCAAACTCTGCTTTAATAGGATTACATGGATAACTTCCTTGAATATTTATTTCCACTACAAATCAGGTAGGATACATTTTAATGACATATTTAAAATGTTGTCATCTTACAGCTGAAGACAATGACGTTTAGAAACGTGTACCTTTTTAAAAAATGAATTGCAAGCTTTAAAACTTTCTCAAAAATGGGAAGCTAATTCCAATATGCATAGTGTCTTCATTCAACAAATTGAAAAGCAAAATTTATGAAATAATAGTATTGCATATCAGTTTAGCAAAGAATTTGGAAAAATGAGATTAAACACAATCATATAAGCATAAAGCTAAAGTAGCCTTCCCAATATTTCACAATATTTGCTATGAAACATTTTTCACTTCTGAAATGGCAATTATGATATACAGTAGGAATGGTATCTCTCTCAGTTCTCATGCATAAAAAATAAACTGCCAATGCATAATTAATGCAAATAATGAAATTGGAACAAGATCCCAGGTCTTGTTCAGATTAATGCCAATTGCCTGAATTGTACATGTTCTAATAATTTATATCAGATTTTGACTGAATTTCTTTAATATTTTCCTACTTAAACATTTTTAATGTAAAAAATGATGACATGTTTTAAATGTAGGCAATTTAAGTTTGTGTGTGTGTGTGTGTGTGTGTGTGTATGTGTGTGTGTGTGTGTAATTTTAAAGTCTGAAAACTTGCTGGAGTTTACAATCAGCCTGGAGGTGACTTGAATAAAGTTGTTAACTAATGAAAAAGGTAGTTCTTAATGTGAATCTGCATATGCTCATCACTCTCCTGAAGGACATTTATTCAATTTGAGTTTCAAAGCTAATTGGAAGTCATGGTAGGTTGATAAATATTGGAAATAAGGCTAATATTGCCATAGCATTTATTACTATTTCATTAATTTTGTAGTGAAGAAATATCTGAACATTCTTTCTCTGTAAATAGTACATTTCTCATTACATGAGTGAACCACAATATTTTTGGAAAATTGGTCAGTATTTGAATAGCATCCTCATGACTTTATAATTAAAATCTTGCTCATAATTAAAAATGGAACAACCATTATTCAAAAATTGTTAAGAGTTATTCTAACAAAATAGAATAAAGTATTTTTAAAAATAGAACTGTAGTTTATAATGCATATTTTTACTTTTTCTTTTTACTAAATTTGACTTCTAAAATACATATTTATTCATTTATTTAACCACTGTTTAAGTGCTCACTTGTATTAGTCAGCTTTGTTGCTAAACGAACAAGCCAAACTCTCAGCGTTTTATAATAATATTTATTCCCTGCCTCAGTATGTGTTGGTGACCGTAGATTATCTGTAACTACTGTGGCTCTGATTCATTCAGGTTGACTGTGCCCCACAATTCTCCCATTTTAACACCAAGGCTAAAAGGACCACTTAGGACATGCCCCTTCTTTTGGCAGTGGGAATTAGCAAGAGATTAAGAAAACTCTTCAATCACATTTCAAGCTTCTCCTCAGATGGGATGGATATATGTCAAACTGACTTATATTTCATCAAGGAAAATATGTCAGAAATTAAGCCAATACTGAAAGAATGTGATATGTACTCCTGAGGTGGGGGGGTAGGATAAAGACATGTGGATGTGTATTTGCAAACACTAATCAATCTACCATATCACTGTGGGGTCTTTTACATGGCCATTTCCCTAAAGAGCATTTCAGTGTAGAATAGTTGGTTTCCAAGCAGACATGTATTATTCGAAAAAGCCTCCATTTAGATTCATCCTATCATACTATTTGTATTCTGGACATGTTTATTTGAGAAAAATTTAAATCTTATTTCTGTCTGTGATTTTATTTAAGCTATATATTCTACCAAATTCCCCATTGCAAATGCTTTCTGTTACTGATTCAGATTGTATTTTCATAAATTATTCTAATTCTATACATGGAGACAACTCAAATTTAAAATCTTAATCAGAGAAAAATCAAAGCTGATTTATGAGAATGAAAACTTATGCGTTGTCACAACATTAGGGGAAGGCTGAGAGACATTAGACCACTCCTAACTCTGAGTCTCTTTTTGCTGCTCCAGGATGAGATACTTTGCTGCCTTCAGGCCAACTATTGCATCCCACCTCACCCACACCAGACAGCTTGAACAGAACCTTTTCAGACTTCCTTCAAGGGGTAGTCTGGTTAAGCTAATCACAATTCTGTGTGTTGGCATCCAGGTAGAGCTACAAGTAATAACACTTTGTCTAGGGTCATTAATTGTAAGGGGATCTGATAACTTTAATGTAATGAAATAAATCATTGTTTACTCATTAGAGATTACTGCTGATACTTTTTACGAGGAAATGAGAAACCAGGATTCCACCAGAGCTTCTGTTTCCAACATGGGTCCAAATCAACATAATCATGTCCAACTCCACCTGATAAACCCTGCTTCATTCTCCCTTGTTCCTTGATGAGTCCACACTTCTGCTTCTTAGTGTGTTTATTCCATTTAAATTATCAAGATTACACCCATGTCTCTTGCTTTATCTTATTTAAATTAATGAAATCCTAGATGTAATTGAAAGATATGTTATCCATTAAATCTGATGAACATCAATTTAATAAAAGGAATATTTCAACCCCTTCTCTGGGTTACAAACTCAGCTAGTAACTATTGTCCTCTATTTTGGCTTGTGTAAAGATCTTGATATTGGTGACTCAATCACCCATTGATGTAAGAAATTCTCCCTCTACTCTTTTTCAAAGTTGTCAAGGCTGGCTCTCACAGACAGGACACAGTCATGGGACAGGGATTTGTACCAAATTCTACATGCATAAACTTTAATGACGCCAAGTAGACTTGCCAGAGTCTCACAGACTACCAAGAAATTTAGATTATCAAATTATGTTAGTTACGGATTGCTCATTCTTTCAAATTCATTTTGTTAACTCATTCAAATATGTCTCTAACTGCCACATAGATAATTTTTTTATCTTAATTTTTTGTCTCTCTCTCTCTCCATACATTATAAGTATATTCATAAAACATACAATTATATATATTTTTGTTTTTCACAACTTAAAATTATCAATAATATCCACTTTATTTAAGTTGATGGTCATCAAGTATCTGAAATAAAATTTCACACCATGAAATTGATTTTTTTAATTTTAGAGGATAAATTATCATTTTCACAAAAATGTCACCAAATATTGTATTTTTGTTTTATTTTATTATGTCTTTCTAAACAGTTAAAAGGACTTAACAAAAATGCTTAATACTTGACAAAAATCTTAAAAATTAATTAATGCAATGGAAACATAAATGTCATACTGACTGCTTTGAAATGTATTAAGGTTAAATATATTTCTTATATCAAATTATCAAAGAAAAGCCAATTTAAACAATAAAATAATTTTCCAGACTTCCTTCATGGCTAAAGAGGATGTTTCATCTGCCTTTAGCCAGCTTCAGGAGTTGCCCTCATTTCTTGCAAACACAGAGACACAAGGAGAAAAATATTGATTTCTATATTATAGAGTCTAGTTTTATCTGCCCCTAACCCAGGCCAGCAGGGTATTTTAGATATGATAGCTGTGGGAACACAGCTGTTCAAAGCTCAACCTTAGGGCTCCTTATGAAGGACTTTTAGGTAGCACTTCTTGCAACTATGTTTTACTAACACCCCTGAAACAAAGTCCAAGGCACTGACCCCACCAACAAAAAGTTAAACCTTTGTAGACTGAAATCTACTATCTGTTTGTCTCTATCCTACTCCATTTCTCCCACAATAGTGGGAATCCAAGTTTCAAGAGGTTGTGCTGTTTCTCATTCAACCATCAGAGCTCCATATGGTGCTACAGGGGATAACCAGGTGATATAGCCAGGTCTGGATCATGAAGCCTTTTAATCTTCCTTGGGAGGAATATGAAGACTCATTCTTAAAAGCCCTATAGTTGGATCTCTTTTTCCTTCATTCTGTGTCAGTCAGTCACCATTCTCTAAAAATTGTTGAATGTTTCCTCCAAGCTGTACTAGTTTTCTATTGTTGAATAGCAAATTACCACAAATTTAGCAGCCTATATTGGCATTCATTTATTATCTCAATATGTTTCTATTGGCAGTGAAGCTTTTGTTCAGAGACGTATACACTGAAATCGAGATGTTCACCAGGGCTGCAACTTCATCTGGAGCTTGGCATCGTCTTCCAAGACTATACAGGTTGTTAACAAAAATCAGTTACTTATGATTGTAGGATGGAGTCTGTATTTGGTTTTGTTTTGCTGGATGTTTGCTGGGGATAACTCTGTTTAGAAGCCATTAGATGGTTGCCTCCATGGGCAGTTCACAACATGACTCTTGTTTTCTTCTAGGCCAGCAGGAGAGCATCCCTCTGATACTTTACCTTCTTTAAAAATGCTCATCTAGTTAAGTTAGTCCCGCCAGGATAATCTCTCTTGAGAGTGACTCAAGCCCAACTTACGATTAGCCAAATTATGAGTGTGCTTTCCCAGCATATTCATGGGTAACTACCAACATTGAGAAGAGGAGGTTATACAAATCAGGGAGCAGAAATCTTGGAGGCCATACTGGAATTCTGGCCACTGCATTATATACCCTTTGTCTGAATCAATTATTTTATTGGAATTTGCCTGTTTTGTTTTGTATTAACACACAAATTGTTACTATATCACTACATGGAAGGTTACATTACACCAAAATACTATTAAAGAAAATCCCTAGGTGATGAAATTTGGGGGAAGTATTGCCATTTTCATTGTACTTGTTTATTTTATAGACTTTAATTTTGAGCTTTTATTAGCAGTTGCTGGTAAATAATTAACACTTTGCTTCTCAAAACCCAAACCTCTGATTTGCAGCATTTGTTGATTTCTGTGGTGTAAATACTCCCACCATGGCCAATTCCAGGCCACCAGTATGATGTTACTGAATGCACAGTTAGCAGGAAGTCCTGGCTAAAACGGTGAAACCCCATCTCTACTAAAAATTAAAAAAAAAAATTAGCCTGGCGTGGTGGCAGGCATCTGTAGTCCCAGCTACTTGGGAGGCTGAGGCAGGAGAATGGCGTGAACCCGGGAGGCAGAGGTTGCAGTCAGCCGAGATCGCGCCACTGCACTCCAGCCTGGGCAACAGAGCAAGACTCCGTCTCAAAAAAAAAAAAGAAAGTTATTGAAATAAAACCTAGAAATATATCAAATAAGTAATACTAGTTTTTACATATATTCTACTTGAAAGACAATAGATTTTTACATAATTGATTATATTGACTCTTGATTGAGGCAGCTTAAATGCACAGCAATTAACAGTTCAATCATAAGATTCTCCTGAGAACTCAAACCCCTTGTAGTCATCTAGTACACTTAAGAAAAAGTCTAAGCTCTCTGAAAGTCAAAGAAAAATTTTTTTAAACTCAATACAATCATAGAAATACTATTTTAAAACATTAAATATTTTTACTTTTATTTAAGATTATTACTTTAAAAATCACAATAGTGTCATAACATATGAAAACAGAAAAACTGAGGCTAAAAATAAGTATAAAATATATACAATTTGAGATCATTTTAATAAGCACATAAAGCTAATAATTAAGATAATGGTGAGTTTGGTACTGAAAGATATAAAAAATTATAAACAATGGGACAAATGTTCAGCTACTTTTTAGGAAAGATTTTTAAAACATGGAAGGAAATTATTAACAGTAAAAGGCAAGTTGCAGTTTTATTGAATTCACCAAATGCATTATATCAATCTTCTGCTAATATGTCAGATTTACTTTAGTAAGAGTAGAATATTCCATTGATGTGAAGACAGATACAGAATCAAAGAGTAGGTCTCTACTCCTAAGTAGAGACATTATCAAATCCCTGAAGTAGAGGCTCAGCTATGTGTAATCATTTGTAAATTAAAAAGAGGTAAATTTCAGGAAATGATAAGATCAAATATTCCTCCCTAAAGGGTAAACAAGTTTACAGAACTGTGACTGGCATACTCAGTATTGTTTCCAGGAATGGAAGCATAATCAGTCATTATATTCAAAGCACTCTAGACTAAAACTTGGTGCAATCTATAAACAGGAAGTGATTTGGGGAAATGTGGATAAACAAGTGTCCAAAAATGAATAATGAGAATGTCAAGTCAGGAGGGACTAAGAAAAAAACTACTCATCAGGGATATGACTGGAGAAAAAAGACAACATTTCAGAAAAGTGTTGGGTTATTCAAACCCTTTATAATTCATGGGGAAAATGGTCTGCTTGAATCAGATTAATATTCACTAAAGTGTATATAAATTTCTAAGGTTTTGAAACTGAACTTGAGGATGTGCTTCCAGTCAAGACGTTTTTCAAATCATTGAAGCTACTGGTGCTGTGACAAATCTCTGGTCACTCACAACTGGGAAGAAAGTTCTTGTCAGTTACTGGAAGACAGTCAGTTCGGCAGCCTTGTAACAACAGCACAAAATGCTCACAGTGTTGCCTCTTATAAAGATTATTCACTGGCATAAACTCAAGGTCATCTCTGAGTTTTATTTACCTCGACCAAACCCTCTCCAATTTCCTAATTTGTAAATTAAGATTATGTCAGCATCTCCCTATTATAGATTCCATTTTGTCACAGGAAAACAGAATACAGTAGCTGCCCCTTATCCACAGGAGGTACATTCCAATATCCCCAGTGGATGACTGAAACCATGGATAGTACCAAACCCTATGTATACTATGCTTTTTTCCTTATATATACATACCTATGATAAACTTTCATTTATAAATTAGGCACAGAAGAGATTAACAACAATAACTCATATTAAAATATAACAATGATAACAATATGACAGCATTCCTATTCTTGCACTATGAAGCCATTATTAGATAAAATAAGGGTTACTTGAACACAAGCACTGTGATATAGTGATAGTCCATCTTATAACCTAGACAACTATTAATATTAAGTGACTAGTGAGCAGTGAGTATCTAGGGCATGGATACACTGGAAAAGGAGGATTCATGTCCTGGAACACAGCAGGACAGCACAAAATGTCATCATACTCCTCAAAACTGTGTGTAATTTAAAATATATAGTTTATTTCTGGAATTTTTCATTTAATATTTTTAGACCGTGGTCGGCCCCACATAACCAATATCATGGAAATCTAAACTGTGAATAAGGTAGGAATACTAAACACATCCCAGGACTTTAGCTCGTTGGTCTAGCATCAGTTTAGTTTCATTGCTGGTAACTTGTAGATCATTTATTGCCTGCCTTTTTCTTTAGCCAAATTCTTATTTTAGTGAGTAAATCCCAGCCATGTCCTCTTAGGCCTAGCCACTATTTTTGTACCAGGAAAAGTATCCTGTCTCTGAAAACCAGCACCCATTTTTGCATTTTCTTTTCTGAAAATCCTGGAAGCTGTGCACTGAATGCTTTCTGTGAATATTTTTGAAGACACTTTCTGTTTATATTGCTCATCTAATTGTACTTTTTATATTATTCATTATTGAAGCATCCTTTCTCAGCTTCTGCAGGTTTATATGGCCTTAACATACCATTTTGTTCTTGGTCTAGCATAATCATGAATTAGTAGTACATTACATTTTTCTTTATTCATTTCCTTCCACAAATTCTACAAACAAACGTGGTATTCAACATAGTGGTTGGGTTAGATTCACATATGCTCTTCACAGAAGATGAAAAGTGCTGGGCGTGGTGTCTCAGGCCTGTAATCCCAGCACTTTGGGAGGCCAAGGTGGGCGGATCACGAGGTTAGGAGTTTGAGACCAGCCTGGTCAACATGGTGAAACCCCGTCTCTACTAAAAATACAAAAAATAGCCGAGGTTGGTGGCAGGTGCCTGTAATCCCAGCTTCTCAGGAGGCTGAGGCAGGAGAATTGCTTGAACCTGGGAGGCAGAGGTTGCAGTGAGCTGAGGTCATGCCACTTCATTCCAGCCTGGGCGACAAGACCAAGACTCCGTTTAAAAAAATAATAATAATAATAATTAAAAGAAGTAGACTTTACTAGATAATTTTCTGACTAAGCTCCTTTTAATGCAGGCTCCTATTTCAGAGCCAAAAGTTGATCTAAAGACTTGAAGTAATCTTAGGATGACAGGTGTAAGACAGAGACCGTATGGCAAAGAAAAATATATTAGAAGTATCCTTCTTGCATTTCAACAATTTAATCCCAATGATGTTAACACTGAGCAAAATCCTAAAGTTGGCAAATTTATGTTTGGCTTGCTTCTACTGCTGTTTCACAAGCTCTCAGTTCTCAAGATAAATGCTGCTCACAAAGTACGTCTATGTCTTATTCCTTTAATATAAGGCTCTCAACTGCAGAGAATAGGAATCCCAGTTGAATAGCATTCTACCATGGAATCCTGAGGGGTACCTGAATAAAAGGTGAAGAAACGTTCAAGCCTAAGGACTGGATGAGCCCCTCTCCTTTTGCTGTTATTCACTTACCTGTTCTATTGGTTATCTCTGGTCAATTGTCTATGAGGGCAGGATCTGTGTCTATCTTGTTCACCACTTTATCACCAATCCCTCTATAATATATGACCTACAGACTGGGGTACAAAGGAATATGAAGTCTAAGAAGTTACCTAGCCTTGTTCACAAAAATTTTGAAAATTCTTTATGTCATGAGTAATGAAAATAAATGTAATACCCATTAAAGTCGAGCATGAGATCTGAAAAAAAGACTTTTTGTAACAAACTTCAGCAGAGCTTGATGCAAAGAGAGGAATAAAATAAGGTATTTGATAAAGTGTTAGTTTCATTTTTAGAGAAAATATTTTATTTTCACGTCACAAACAGAATGAGAACTATAAAGTCTTCATGTGGTTAGAAAACAGCCAGAGAATTAGAACATTACTAAACTCTGCAGGATAACAAATGATAACCCTGAGGATATAACTAAATGTGAATAAACAATACCTCAGACAACCTTTACAGTGACACACAACATAAAAGGAAGCTAAGATTATATTTAATGCATATTTATGAAAATTTCATAGGAATGTATGACATGGGTAATTAAATTTAATGAATGTTTATCTGCCACTCTTTAGCAAATCCAAAATTGATAGAACAAACATAGTGGGCAACTAAGAAAGGTCTTGTTTAGCAACAGAGAAAAAGAAATTAGGATAAGATTATACTTGGAGAACATAAACTTGTGTTTTGAGGCCCACTACAAAGTTTATGAGCTGAAGAGATAATATCATCGGATGGATTTTAAATTGTTTGACTTAAGAGACAAATAAAGACCTTAAATTGTTTGTTGTGCTTGGTACTGCCTATGCCTTTGGAAAAGAGAGATCAATAAAAGAAGCAAACAACCAGGGAAAGAATCAGTGGGGTTGTTAAGAAATGTAAGTTGAAAGTTAGTGACAGATAAAGTTGATAGTGCTGTATAAAAGCAAGGAAAAAATTCAGCTTCCACATTTACTATGTTCACACATGTGGAAGTCTTAAAAATACTGTGGGATATTTTCTGTGCAGCATCCCTAATCTTTTTAAAAAGACAATTGAATAAAATTATACGATATTAAAATGGTTTAGTTATGATAACTGTAAATGTTGAAAGAAAGACTATCAGTGCAATGTCTGGTTCACCACCATCAACATCCATAAAAGAATAATGAGCTCAAGATCCCTCTCCAACTGGCTTCAGATCTGCAGCTGAAACATTGTTCTTGTTATGGCTGGCAGCTGATTGTAGCTGCTGATTGCTAAAGATTCCCATAAGAAAACTGGTGCCTGATGCCCTGGTGGATTCCCAGGAATCATGAATGCCAAGAACATTTTGATTCTGCAGAGGGAAAAGAGTGAAAAATGAATTGTAAAATATCCTACTCGTAGTGAACAAAGTCAAATGACTCAAACTCTCATATGAACTGTTGATCTGAACCACCCAATAAGGCAGAAATCAGGTAAAGATACGAACTTTCCTAAAAGTACTATCAAAAATATTAAAAATAAACCTTCTATCTAACTTCAAGAGAATTGAAACTATCTTTCCTTTTAATAAAAATGAAAATTGTTTAGCTTTCTGGTGTCTATTCTCAAGATTTCCAATGCTTCTGCTCATATTTATTTTGCTCTCAATGTTTTACAAAAGCAGCTCTCCTTCAGGTTTACTCCACGTTACTCCGGTAGACAATTTTTTGTTTTAGACAGTTTCACTATTGTCACCCAGGCTGGTGTGCAAGGTGCAGTCTCGGTTCACCGCAAACTTTGCCTCCCAGGTTCTAGTGATTCTTCTCCCTCAGCCTCCCAAGTAGCTGGGATTGCAGGCACCCTCCACCATGCCTGGCTAATTTTTGCATTTTTAGTAGAGAGGGGGTTTCACCATATTGGCCAGGCTGGCTGCACACTCCAGACCTCAGATGATCCACCCTCCTCGGCCTTCCAAAGTGTTAGGATAACAGGCGTTGAGCCACTGTGCCCTGCAACAATTTTTTTTAATATGATGGCCATATTTGCCACAATTGAGCACTCATTTTTTCATGAAACACTTCCTTAGCGTGGCTGCAGGAATATTCATCAGCCTCTCTTGTTTATTCTCACGGGCCAGTCATCCTCAGACTCCTTCACTGGCTTCGCAACTCTTTGGCTTCAAATATTGGAGAACGTCAAGGCTTAGTCCTTGGAAATATTCTATTTACACACAAGTCTAAGGTTATTCCATTCAGTCATATGCCATTAAAAATCATCTGTGTTCTGATCATTCACAAAATATGTATCTCTAGACTGCTTTCCTGAACTCTAGGTTTCTGTGACCAATCGCTTAATCTGCTTTATGTCTCAAATTTAGTATCTTTAAATCTGAACTTGAATCCTGCTCTGTCCACAGTCTTTCCTATCTTAGCAAATAGTTCCATCTTTCAATTGCTCAGGTTACGGACCCTAATGCTATCTTTTACCCCTCTCTTTCTCTTAAAACCCACATCTGACCCATCAGGCAAACCTTCAAAATATACCCAGGATCACCATCACCTACTGTGTGATACCGTGGCCCATGTTCCTATTGTCTCCTGCCTGAACTATACCGCATCTTGTAACAAGTTTCCCTGCTTCTGCCTTCATCTTTCTACAACCAGAATAGCTCCTAATATGGTTTGGGTCTGTGTCCCTATCCAAGCCTCATGTCAAATTATAATCCCCAGTGTTGGAACAGGGGCCTGGTGGGAGGTGATTGGATCATGAGGGCAGATTTTATGTTAGCTGTTCTCACCACAGTGAGAGAGTTCCCACAAGATCTGGTTGTTTATAAAAGTGTGTAACACTTTCCCCTTCTCTCTTTTCCTCCTTCTCTAGTCATGTAAGATGTGCCTCCTTCCTCTTCACCATCTGCCATGATTGTAAATGTCCTGAGGCCTCCTCAGCCATACAGCCTGTGGAACTGTGAGCCAATTAAGCCTCTTTTCTTTATAAATTGCCCAGTCTCAGGTAGTTCTTTATAGCAATGTAACAACGGACGAATACAGCTCCTGTTTTAAATGTTCCAGTTATACTCTTTCTTTGATCAAGCCTCACAGGTCTTTCTTTCTGATGCAGGGTAGAATATAAAGCCCGTATAATACAGTTTGGCCTCATATTCTACAACTTTGCCCTTTGACTGCTTGGCTTTTGAGTTGCGTAGGACACATTACTATTTCCCAAATGCTCCAAAGTCAGGAATTACACACCAGATTTTCCATCTACCTAAAATATTTTTTCCAAGATATTTACATGGCCTGGATCCCCTAGTTCTTAGGTTTCAGCTCGGAGAGGCCTTTTCTTTTTATTATTTGTAAAATACCACATTCATTATATTTACAAACATCTAATGGCCTGTGTATTCATATATTTCTTTCTTTCTTGGTTCTCACATCAACATTAAAGTCTGGGAGGACAAAATGTTTTTGTTGGTCTCCCTTATTGTTTTCACTGGTATTCCTAGGACCAAGGACAGTGCCTAATAAATAATACATTCTATGAGAGTGTGTATTCAATGCACGAATGAATGCACGCATCAATAAACGAATATCTACTCAGCACAAGGGTGAAAATGCCCTCTTTATCTCTTCTTTTTTGTTTTATACTAACAACTTTTTAAAATTAAAAATTAAAATATTATTTTGTTAAATGTTTAATTCATACAAAAGAAAAAAACATAAAGAATAATCAAATACTAGTTTGACTTGTAGTCGGAGAAGTATTAGACATCATCTTTATTCTTAAAGTAACTTGTGGTCCCTTTCTGAATTAAATTTCCCTCCTTAAACTTAAAAATAACTACTATTCTGACTTATGAGATTGTCATTTCTTGCTTTTTTTCCTCATATTTAATATATATGGATGAGCTCCTAAACAAAATATTAGAGTTTTCATTTTGTGTACTTATGTAAATTAAATTTCATAATATGCATTTTTGCAATTTGCCTTATTACACTTAACAAGTTTTAAAGATTTGTTACGGTTTGGATGTGTGTCCCCTCCACATCCTATACTGAAATGTAACCTCCCATGTTGTAGGTTGGTCTAGCGGGAGGCATTTGGGTCATGGGGGTGGATCCATTATGAATGGCTTGGTGTTCTCCCCATGGTAATGAGTTAATACGAGATGGCAAGATCTGATTTTTAAAAATAGTCCGGGAACTCCCCCTTTCTCCCTTGCTCCCTCTCTCACCATGTGACATGCCTGCTCCCCCTTTGCTTTCCACCATAATTAAAAACTTCCTAAGACCTCACCAGAAGCTGAGCAGATGTGGGTGCCATGCTTGTACAGCCTGCAGAACCACAAGCCAAATAAACATCTTTTGCAACACAAAATGGACTAACACACTGTTCATGTGTTCAAATATTTCTCTTCTTCTTTTTCATACACCATTCTTCACTTTTAGATATATCAATGAACAAAAATCAAAGAAAGATCCTAAAATCATAGGTATCTCATTCTAGCAGAGGAAGACAAATAGTAAGTAATAAACACAGTAAGCAAAAGATGTAAGATAAATATGTAGTATATCTCAGGTGAAAATTGTAAAAATATGTAGAACAGAGTATAGGCAATCAGCAGGAATGATGGATTCACACGGGGAGGATGGGAGTTGGCTATATTAAATAGAGCAGCCTGGAAATTTTTAGCAAAGATTTGAAGAAAATAAAGAGGCTTATGGATTTACAGGGAAAAAGCATACCAAGCAGCAGAAACAACTAGAATAAAGAACTTTATGCAGGAGAGTGACTGGGCTATTTGAGGAATAGCAAGGAGGCTGGTATGGCTGGAGTGGGTACCAAGAGAGATCAGGAGATAAAGTCAGAGACTAAATGTGGCCCAGAACCCATAGAGCTTTGTAAACTATGGTAAAGACTTCAGCTTTTTCTCTGAGTGAAATGGAAAATCACTGCAGCATTTTGAGTGGACAAGTGACATGGTCTGCCTTACATTTTAAAAGAATTTCACTGTTGCCACAATGAAAATCAAGGGTAAGGGACAAAGATAAAGGAAAGTATGAAAGCAGTTTGGAGGCTATGAGCCTGAGAGAATTTCTTGGCAAATTGGATGTGTGTGTGAGAGAAAGAGAGAAATCAAGAATGGTTCCAAAGCTTTTGCCCAGATTAACTGAAGGATGCAATTTTCACCCACCGAGGCAGTTATACCTATCACAGTTCCATTTAACACTGGCCTATGTAGAAAGCTGATAGATCATAGAGAATGATAGTGGCCTATCATGAGCTCAATCAAGAAGTGTCTCCAATTACATTTGCTCCTTAATGAAGATGGGAAATATAGTTCTTGACACCTGGAAAATTAGCTATCAAGCTGATTAATGCACTTTTTTCTCAATACCAATAAACAAAGAGCATCAGAAGCCACTTACTTTCAGCTAGCAGCGTGTAACAGTACTGTTTTGCCACAAGGCTTCATTAATTCCTGGGCTTGACTCCATAATTTAGCTCAGTGTGACCTTAATTATCTTGCTTCCTATAGGAAATCATGCTGGTCCATCCACTGATTGTCTATGCTGATAAAGTATATTGATTGGTAAGTACTAGATATACTAGATACCTTGAAAGATACATGCATGGTAGGCAGTGGAAAATAAACTGAAGGACTTTCAGGTTTTTGCCACTGAAATACATTTTCTGACTGTTCAGTTGTCTTGAGAATGTTGTAATGCTTTCTCCAAAGTGCAAAATAAGTTGCATCTTTGACTCCTTAGCTCTAAGAAAAAGGAACAATGCATGCTGGACCAATTCAGATCTCCTTAACTCTGGGAAAAAGAAACAATACATGCTGGACAAATTTGGATTATATATACATATATATCTGGAAATGCTGCTGCTACTAATTTACTTAGTAACCCACAAGACTGAGAGCTTTGGGTGTGATTCAGAAAAATGTAGGTCTTCCAGCTGGTCCGGCTGTAGTGCAAGGAGTGTTGCCGCTTGTGCTTATGATTCATTGAATTCGAGAGTGTGTAATGTGCCTCTTGTCAGATTGCAGTACTCTGTGGACACTACGTCAAACACTGATGGGGAATTGCACTGTGAACCAATGGTGTTTGGGAGGAAAATTCATGCTTTCCGAGTTAAGAACCTGAACTTCTCATACTGAACCCAGTGTCATCTCATTCACGAAGCCATAATGTTGGGCATGTCCAGGATTGTGTGGAAGAATCATTACAGAAGAGGCCTAGAAAGTAAAAGTTTCTGATTCTGATATGAAAACTCAGTGCAAATGAGGAAACACTCAATGGTCGGTTATTTTTAAAAAACCTATTCTATCAATGTCAGCCATTGTTTTTTACTATATTAACCTCAGTGTTTGCTCATTGAACTTGTTAAGTAAGAGATTAAAAAAACATATTTTGCATGAATTTTCCAAAAAGTACCACCCTCCACCCTCTCTGGCTTCTCCCCGACCTCTCTATTTAATCTGACTACAGGCACTGCTGAGTACCTTATCTACTAGGAGCAAAGAACAATATTCAGTCACCTGGTGATAAGCCAGTTACATTGGATCTCTTTTGTCATGGAGAATACATTAGACAGAATTTTTCCTCAGTGAGTAGATTCTTATAGTAGATACTGATTTGGGTTTTCTGCCTACTTCTGCCATACACAACTCCTCAGTAGTTAGAAACTTTGTTTATTATTGCAACGTTCTACACAGTATTTCTTTTGACTAAGGAGCTCAGTATATATATAGAGAAGAAAGGCAGAAGGCTGATGTCATAATATTCAATGATTTTTCCCTATTATATACTCCATCACCCAGAAGCAACTAACCAAGAAGAAGGGTGAAATAAAATATTAAAGACTCATTTATGGCGGCTCTAGCTGGGAGACAATACTTTGTGAGATTGGGCTAATACACAAAAGGATGCAGCCTCCACTATGTGATGTTTTTTCTTCCTTAGCCAAAATAAATGGATCTAGGTACCAAAAAGCCAAATGGGGAGTGGTACATCTGACTCTTTCACCTAATGACCCACAAATGCTGATAATAAATTTATGCAGGACGTGCTCTGCTTTTTTATACCTATTGAGAAAATAATATTTACTCTTTTCCTTTAAACTGATAAGATGTAGTATTTAAATGCTATATATTTTTAAGGAAAAATCAAGCATTTATTTCTATGATAAACCTGAATATCACCATTTTGGTAATCTAATTTCTAGGAATTTACCATCTAAATGTATTAATGGCCATTTTTTTCTTTATTGTGCCTCCTTTGTTAAAATTTTTATCATTAATATTTAGGCAACACAACTTATAAAATTAATTAAGGCGTGTTCCTTCATTTTCCCTTCTTTGAAAGAATGAGGTTAAAGTTGAAATTACCACTTCTTAAATGCAAAATATCCTATCAAACCATATGAGCTTGTTTTATTTATTTATTTTGAGGAGATATTTTTAAATTACTTAATATGATTAATAATTATATTACTCAAGTTTTCTACCACTTTTAGTTCAGTCAAGAAATCTGTTTATCTATGTTAAAATTTCCCAAATTTATTGGCATATAACTGCTTGTCATAATTTCTTATTTTTTATGTCAGGTTCATAGATTTGTATGTCCTCTGTTTACCCATGTCTTGTTCATATTTTGTTCCATACGCCAAATGTGTCCCAGATTTTCACATTCTAAAACGTTTACATACACAAACACACAACCATTTATACAATCTATCCCTCAAACCAAAACCTACTTCTCACCTTTCACAAACAGCTTTACAAGGTAGGGAACGTTGTTGGATCCTGCGGTAGCTCTCTTTTTAGAGGAATCACCGTTTTTCATGGTAGCTGCACAATTCTATATTCTTTTCAATAATGTGTAGGAATTGCAGTTTCTCTTCATCCTTACCAACACTTATCTTTTGCTTTTTGAAAATAATCATTCTAATAAGTGTGAAGTAGTATCTCCTTGTGATTTTGGTCTGCCTTTTCCTGATGATTTTTAATGTTAAGCATTTTTTCAAAACCCTGGTGACAATGTGTATAAGACCTTATGCCTATTCAACTCCTTTCCCCTCTTTTTAAACAGATTATTTGAGGGTTCTTTGTTTTTTCTACTGAGTTGTAGGAGATTCTTATATGTTTTAGATATTAATATCTTATTAAATAGATTGGTTTGCAAATATTTTCTCCCATTTACAGGTTGCAATTTCACTTTGTTGACTATTTTCTTTGCTGTGCATAAAATTTTTAGTCTGGTGTAGTCCAACTAGACTGTTTGGCTTAACAAAAAAACAAAATCCTGTGCTTGTGGTGTCAAAAAAATTTTTAAAAATCATTGCCAAGACCAGTGTTAAGAAGTTTTTTTCCCTGTGTTTTCTTCAAGAAGTTTTACAGTGTCAGAACTTATGTTTAAGTTGTCAAACCATTTTGAGTAGATTTTTGTGTATAATATAAAATAGGGATCCCATTTTATTCTTTTGCATGCAGATATCTCATTTTTTCAGCATTGTTTTTTGAAGTGACTATCCTTTTCTCATTGTGTATTCTGGACACACTTGTGGAGGACCATATATGCCCATGCTTATTTCTGGGTACTTTATTCCGTTTCATTGGTCTATGTGTCTGGCTTTATGCCAGTATCACTGTTTTGATTACTCTAGCTTTGAAATCAAGAAGGGTGATGTCTTCAGCATTGTTCCTCTTTCTCACTTTGTCTATTTGGGATCTTTTTTGTTTCACATTAATTTTAGATTTTTTTTTCTGTTTCTGTAAAATATGGCTTTTGAATTTTGATAGGAATTGCATTGAATCTGTACATCACTTTGGGTAAACATTTAAGCAATATTAAGTCTTCCAATCTGGAAACATGAGATATCTTTTTGTTTGTTTGTATCTGCTTTCATTTTCGTGTTTTATAGTTTTTAGTATGGAAGTCTCTCATTTCCTTGGTTAAGTTTCTTTCTAAATATTTTATATTTTTATGCTATTATAAATTGTATTGTTTTATTAATCTACTTTTTCGATAGTTCATTGTTAGTATATAGAAATACAGGTAATTTTTGAATGTTGATTTTTTATCTTGTGACTTTGCTGAATTTGTATATTAGTTCTAATAGTTTTGAGGGTTTTTTTGTGCATGATGTCTTTAGGGTTTTCTATATAAGATCATGTCTTCTGCAAAAAAAGAAGATTTTACTTCTGAATATGGAAACCATCCAAACATCTATTGACAGATAAACAGATTTTTAAAAAGCGGTATATACATTCAGTGAAATACTATTTAGCAATTTGAAAATGGAGGAAATTCTACATCTTGTGAAAATGTGAATGAACCTAGAGGGCATTATGCTAAGTGAAATAACCCAGTCACAGAAGGATAAATACTGCATGACTACACTTATATGAGGTATCTAAAATAGTCAAACTCACAGAAGCAGAGAATAGAGTGGTGGTTGCCAGGTGTTTGGGGAAAAAGAAAGTGTGAAATTGTTGCTTAATGGGTACAAAGTTTCAGTTTTACAAGATGGGTTACTTCTAGGGATCTTCTATATAACACAGTGTCTATAGTTAATAAAATATTGTGCACTTCATTTTTTTGTGTGTGCCTGTGGGTAAGATAGGGGTCCAATTTCATTCTTTTGGAGGTGGACATCCAATTTTCCCCACAACATTTGTTGAAGAAACCATTCTCTTCAACAACTTCAACTCTGTCACCTATCCTCTTTGTTAAAAGGATAGATCTCATGTTGCGTTCTTACCACCACCACACACTCACACACAAGAACATGGGGAAAAGTTTTAAGATGATTAATATGTTTAATTCTTTGATTGTAATGACAATATCATGTGCATATGCATATGTCCAAACTCATCAAAATGTGCATATTAAATATAGGCAATTTGTGTGTATCAGTTACACTTAAACAAAAATTTTAAAAGCTAGGGTACAGTAGTGAGCAAAAATATATTATATGTTTGGTCATATAATGCTACTTTAAAAATCACGTAGTGGGATAACGATGATCTGTTAATCTGCTTCTCAGGATTCTGTAGGTAAGCTAGAAGATCCCTATTGTTGCTTACTCCTAGCCTACCCATGTGTCTGCATTTAATAAGAGAGTTGGATAGGCCGAGTGGCCCAAGATGTTTTTCACTCACATGCCTGGCAGTTGGTTGGAACATCTTGGTTCTACTCCATGCGGCCTCTCTTCTATGCTGGGCTAAATTGGCTTCCTATCCTGGAGTCTAATTGTAGCATTCCAAGGAGCAAAGGTGTAATGTGAAAGACCTCTGTGGCCTAGACTCCAGAACTTGTCATTTCTACTACATTGTGTGGATCAGAACAACTCAAAAAAATACCCTAGATTCAAGGAGAAGGGAAACAGTCCCCATCTATTGATGGGAGAAACTCAGAAAAACAAAAAACAAAAAACAAAACAAAACAAAAACTATGGCATTATTTAATCTACTCTAGTCTACCTTCTTATCACAATTATTTATATACTCCCTATATGGAAAATGTGTTCACCTTTCCAAATATCCCCAACATCTCAGAAAATCACGGCATCACACTTGAGGATTTTAATCTCACAACCTGCGTTAGGTCTGGGTCAGGCTTCTCAGATGTGAGTTCTCTGATGTTATTTCTCTTGACAGATCTGTGAAATAAAAAGACAAGATATCTACTTCCCCTCCCCTAACATATAATGAGGAAACAGGAACAGAACAATGATTACGGTAGACATTTCCATGTTTAAAAAATGTGGGGTGAAAATGGGGAATCATAGCAGTCAATGGTCTACAGCATTCCAGCTCTTCTGAAATTTAGCTGGGGTATGTGCCATCAGCTCTCCTTACTCTTAGAACAGGAAACAATACTTGAGGATGATTCATTTTCTCCTCAGTTCTTGACTCTGCCCTCTAGGCTTTGAGCTCATGACCTATGGCTCATGGTTCAGTCCTCTAGAGACATTCTTCCTTTTTTAAAAAATAAGAAATGGTCCATGTTTGCGGTTGAGTAGTTTTTCCAGAGGCCTATGTTCATTTTGATCTGTCACTGTTCCTTTTATCTCAAGCGGATAATGTTTTTGTTGTATCTTTATTTGAAAATCTTCTAGTTTACAATGACATTTCCCCCATCATCCAAAAATTACAACCATAATCTATTTTGAGGCAGACCTTTTTCTACTTGAGCAGTGTGTGAAAGTTGTAAGGTATAATGCCTTGCTACGGTTTGAATGTGCCTGTCCAAAATTCAGGTGTTGCCAATACGATAGTATTAATATGTGAAGTCTAAAAGAAGTGATTAGGCCATGAAGGCTTCTCTCTTGTTAATGAGATTTAGGCCCTAATAAAAGAGGCTTCACTCAGCATTTGCTTCGTTTGCTCTTCTGCTCTTCTGCTATGTAACGATGTAGCAAGAAGGCCCTCACTGGATGCTAGGGTCTTGATCTTGGACTTCCTATTTTCCAGCACCATAAGAAATAAATTTCTTTTCTTTACAAATTACTCAATCTCAGATATCCTGGTATAGCAGTACCAAAAACAAAAAATAGACTAACAAACAAAAGCTAAGACACACCCTTATGATTCTCATAATAACTATTTGTTTCAGTTGAGAGGGTCTACTAAGTAGCAATCTTAATTTTTGGAATCAATCTTAACACCATAAAGCCATTTCTTATTTTGAAATATTTCTTTTATAAAGAAAAATGGAGAAGAGAAACAGGTTTATTTTCCAACACAAAATATGAACTGAGTCTTCTGAAAATTTTCATTGCTCCTTGAATTTTAGTTTATCTCTGCATTCTCATACCTTATCATATAAAGTTATCAGATGCCAGTTTACAGTTTTGACATGTTATGTGCAAAATTCCTTGACCAGATTCACAAATATACTAGGTAATTTCTTATCTTGCAAGTGTTTCAGGTGGCATTGTTGTAAATTGTTCTTCTATTACACACTGTAGGTCACCTTTTCTCAAGGCTTCAATAGCAATGGACACTCAGAATCCACTTACTCTCTCCTTGATACTTTTGTAGTCTCTTTTTACCACCTACTCCCAAAACCAAGGCCATATGTTTTAGATTTTGTACTGTCAGCAATGCAGTTTTAGGGACCAACTTCTATATCAATTACTTATTGTTGCACAACAAACTACCTCAAAACTAAGTGGTTTAAAACTACAATTACATATTAATTCTCAGGGTCCTATGCATTGTCTTGGTGTGTCCTCTGCACTTTTGGCTTGGTGGGAAGGTATATTGTAGCTTCATCACATCTTTGAGAATTAGTGCTGATTCTTAGCTGGGACATTTTAATTCTCTTCTCAGTGGCCTCTCATTCTTTAACAGGCTGGACTAGATCCTTACCTGCTGTTTCAGGATAGTATTTTTAACAGGGTAAAGGTGGAAGTTGCAAGGTCTCTTGAGGCCTAGGCTCCAGATTTCAAGCATATTCTGTTGGTTAAAGTAAATCACAAAGTCAGCATAAATTTAAGATAATGGAAAAATAGGCCGGGCATGGTGGCTCACACCCGTTATCCCAGCACTTTGGGAGGCCAAGGCAGGCACATCGCCTGCAGTCAGGAATTCGAGACCAGCCTGGCTAACACAGTGAAACCGTTTCTACTAAAAATACAAAAAATTAGCTGGGCATGGTGGTGTGCGCCTGTAATCCCAGCTACTCGGGAGGCACAGGCATGAGAATCACTTGAACCCAGGAGGCAGAGGTTGCAGTGAGCTGAGATCATGCCATTGCACTCCAGCTTGGGCAACAAGAGCAAAACTCTGTCTCAAAAATGAAGATAATGGAAAAATAGACTGTACTCCTAGATAAGAGGCACAGCCAATGCAAAAGAATATACAAACTGAAAAATAATTTGTGCTTGTTCAGAGGAAACATTTGGAGGTAATTGCCCGAATTCAAATTCTGGCTCCATTAATCATGGTACTGTATTCTTGGATTAACTACTTAGTTTCTTTCTGGCTTAGCTTTATCATCTCTAAAGTGGAACTAATAATCATACCTGCCTCATATGGTTATTATTGTGGATTAAATGTGAAACTGTATGTAACACCCCAAAAATGCTCGCTGTTAGTATTCCACTTGCTGCTTCCACTTCATTATCTCCCATTCAGTCTTTATTCTTCTGTAGTCATGCTGCTGCTATTATTTTACTGAGTCAGATTGTGTAAAGGTCATCAGTCATCCCCAGATATGTTGAACTGTTTTGTCATAAGTTGTTAATAATACTCCATTCCTGTGGAAACATTTATTGATGTTCCTGACTGCCCTATAGCAGGACCTTCCAAGGTCTCCTGTTTCTCTTCCTATTCTTTTATTTTAATTGTTCCCCAGTGTTCTGTCTTTCTGTCCATTTTCCTTCTTTGTTCTCTCTCACTGGCCAGTTTCATCCAGTCCCATTGTTGAAACTATCAACACATATTAATACTATGTGAATATCTATCTTTCTCAGTATTACTTCAATTTCTAGCTGCTCACTTGGCATCTCAGCCAATATGATCTTCAAATCCACTAAAAATGTTGTTATTAAACTATACTGCATTCTGTAATCCAGTCATGGGAATCTGTATTGGCATCAATGCTACTGCTCAGAGTTGAACAAACTTGTTTTCTTTTTCCTGTAACTTATTCTATACAGCTACCATTTCCACATCCAAAACATCAGTCTTGATAACATTTCTCCATTTGTCTATTAGTCCCCATCGTTGGTCTTTCCATCCACACCAATAACCTATCTTCCCCTCTGTTGCTTCAGTTATTTGTGTATATACCTCTACTAGAAAGTTTTTATTACAACTCATTGAATGTACAATTAAGAAGAAAAACTGGCCAAGTGCAGTGTCTCATGCCTGTAATCCCACAGTTTGGGAGGTGGAGGCAGGAGGATTGCTTGAGCCCAGGAGTTCGAGACTAGCCTGGGCAACATGGTGAAACCTAGTGTCTACAAAAAACATACAAAAAATTAGCTGGATGTGGGGGTGAATGCCAGTAGTCCCAGCTACACAGGAGGCTGAGGTGGTAGGCTCACCTGAGCCCAGGGATGTCAAGGCTGCAGTGAGCCATGATTACTCCACTGCACTCCAGCCTAGGCAACAGAGTGAGACTCTGTCTCAAACAAACAAACAAACAAACAAACAAACAAAAGGTGAAAACCCTTTGGGGGGAATTAAATTTCCTTCATGGTCTGTCCTCACCTATATTACAACACTCTTTCTCTACTCTCATCGCCTCCCCTCCCCTCTGTCTTTATTCTAGTGGCATAGGTATATACATACCCAGCTCTGAATGCTTCTAATATTGTCTCAATCCCAAGTTTCTTTCATTTTTTGCTCTTTGTTTTATTGTGCCTGAAGTATGTTTCTCTGCCTCCTTCACTTCTTTGTTTGAGTGTGTGCAGATTAAATATCACTCACTAGAGTGTAAACACCCTGAGAGTAGGATAATTTTTAATACATTTTTGTGCACATGACACCTAGCAACATGTTTGTCTTGTAGCATGCTTGAACACTGGATTTAAAATGGATGAAAAACTGTTGGTGGAGAGTCATTTTATCTCCAGTGGTCATTTGTTTCCCCCCTTTATTCTCAAAGCATTTCATGCTTCTTTCAAAGTTTTTATTGTAGCTTACTTGAATTATAGTTAGTGAAGAATATTCTGTCTTATCCACTAGCTTCTGATTATCTCCATGGGCAGAGGCTGAGCTTTACTCATCCTGACATTGCAGTGTTTAGTATATAACACCACACATGTAATGCTGAAGAAATGAATGAATGCCCTCCCAGCCACATGTCCTGGAGTTCACCAATTATTTCTTTGGTCTCTGAGTTGCTGGCCACCACATAATCCTTATGATGGCCTTCTCTTTCAACCACTGATAATAATAAAGCATTATAATAAATACATAAAAATATTAAATTAATTTTATAGAAAGTAGTGTTTGAGTACATGTGGGAATAATTAACAAAAGTCGTTATTTAATTAATAAGTCAGTGCCAAAATCAAAAAGCACATAATAACTAAATGTGTGCAGTAGTAATTTATTTTATGTGAAAATACTAAAAATATATAGAAATATCCAACTAATAGTATTATTTCAAGGTGTTGGAACAATAGTTATAAAACAAAATCAAAATAATGTATCTAGCATTGTAAGCTAAAGATCTTGATATACATATTAATTGGATATAATTTTTAAAATATTAAGGGCTGAAATTGCATACTTAGAATTGTGTAATTCCATTCAGCCTTCTTTTAATGTGTAAATCAATAAAAACAAATGTAAAACACATGTATAAGAGAAGAAATTTAGGCAGAATGCTTTTAATCTCAGAGGAAATGAGTTCTAATAGTGTTCTCATTGGGAATACTGTAACTCTCATTGAGAATAAATACAGTGACTGTATTTATATAATCTTGAAAAGAAAGAAATGGGTGATGGTCATAAAACTCTCCTGATGGTCCGGCACTGCTAATTTAAAAGAAGGAAGTCAGGGATTAAAGTTAATGAGGGGGTGAGCCTCCATGCAATTTAGTTAAACTGTTTAACACAAAAGCTGGTAGAAATATGGAAAGAGAGTACTAGAGGGAGCAACAGAAGAAAAGGCTGTAAATCAGTCTACGAAAAAGAAAAGAGAAAAACAGAACACCCTTTTAGAGGAAATGAGAATCACATAGTTTCATCATTTGATAGATTAGAGCAATCAAAGGGAAGGGAATTGCCAAATTCAGTCATTTGATAGATTGGAGGAATCACAATAAAGACATAAAGGTAAATTTGTATTTCTCATGAGGGCAATTAAAGTGGATTATTAGGTACTCCCATGGCTGTTAAATATTATGTTGACTTTAATTTTTCCCTGGGTGCCTGAGAATGTGTCTTTTCTGATCATAGAAGGAGCGAAGTTACTTCTAGACCTTTTTTTTTCAGACTGCCTGGAAGTCAAAACTGTATTACTCTCTAGGAGCAAATAACCATTTTCAGAGTTAGTAGCTGCTACAGCAGTAATAAAATTTTCACTACCCACATAGAGTAACTTGAGTCGAAGTTGGACAAGACCCTCAGGTAGAAGTAATGAAGTAATCTGTAAAAAGAATCTGTTCATTTCATTCCTTTATTTTTATGCAGTTATTTAATAACCATCACATGCCTACTGTGAAGTTATTTTAGCCTGTTATAATCCAATGGTTAAGTGTTGACATTGAATATAGTGAAAAGCTTGAAAAACCAGTGATTTTCAAGATTTTCACGGTTCTTGAAAGATTTTGAAGTCCTTATCTGGGCTTTTCATAAGAACTTTTTAATATCAGTTATATTTTAAAGGTCTCCTTCTATAGCATCAAAACATTTTTCAGTCAATTCTGATTACATTTTGTTTTAAACTAGCTGGTCTTGTGTTCATAAATATAATTTACATAGAATGGGTAGGAAGCAGTTAAAAAGTAAAACCCAGTGTTCCTGTACCTAGAAAAATGTTGACAATTAGAATTTAGGAGATCTTGTAAAATCAATGACTTTTGCACTGTAGGAAGATTTTATGAGGCTGTATTCTACCTGAATGCAGTCCTTTTCCTGCTGAAGCAGGATATCTTCCTTGACCCCTCTGCACGCTGGAACTGGAGTGGATGGGCACTGGCAGGGGCAACCTCTACTCACTTAAACCCGCTGTGCTCAACCCCCCACGGGAGAGAGAACGCGAGTGAGCAGGTGCAGGAGCCAGGGCGAGTACTTCTAGCCCCACGGCAGCACATAAAGGGATGCCCGTGACCCCTGGAGCTTCAGAAGGAATGTTATAGTCAGTGCTCTTTTAGCTTTGCCATCCACAGATGGCTTAAGTGTTCACAGCTCAGTGGAGGGTCAGTGTGACAGCCTTTTGCATCCACACCTGAATTCCTGTCTGGGGTCCAGGAGGAATGAGGTTGCACAAACAAATTGGAGATGATGGATGGGGGGGATTTTATTGCCAATGACAGTGGCTCTCAGCAGGAAGGGAAGCTGGAAAGGGGACAAAGTGGAGAGGTAATCTTCCCCCAGAGTCCAGCTGTCTGGACTCCTCTCTGAAGCTACGCAATTAATCTATCACTCTGAAATTAAGCTGGTTCTATCCGACATCCAACAATAGTCTCCAATATCCAGCTGCTTCTCCTCTTCTCCTCCCTCTGCCCACAGAACCTGAGGTTTTTATGGGCACAGGATGGTGGGGTGGGGCGGGGCAGGCCATGGGCGGTTTTGGAAAAGCCAACATTTGAGCAGGAAAACAGGAATGTATGTTCTCACTTTGGGCTGCGGTTCTGGGCTTGAGAGTGGGGCCCTCACAAGGCACCCACCCTCTTCTGCCCAGAATTTCCCTGTCTCCTGTTCCTATCACTGCCAAAGATAGGATAGACTATAAAACAGCTATCATCATAGATAGACTATAAAACAGCTATCATAGGATAGACTATGAAACAGCTATCATCAAAGGACAAACTAGACACCACGAAGATAAAGAGAGTTACGGTGCAGCATAGTTTAGATGGAGATTAGTCATCCTCGGGTGAGAGAAGCACTCTAATTAGATGAATTTCCTGATCATGGAAGAAGAAAAGTTACTTCTACCTATATCATCTACTTTCATTAAAGACGGAGCATGAAATTTAGGAATATTAACTTCCATAGAATACAGTAGAGGTAAATTGTATTTCAGCTGTTAACATTGTGCAATGCAGAAAGACAGAATTCTTTACAATTGTTAGGGAAAACTTGATAAACAGAGATAATTCTGATACAGACTAACTTGAAAGAAAGAAATAAGCAGATTACAATGAATGCAGGAAGTTAAAATGGGAAGGGAATAGAACTACTTCTATCAACTACATATGAGTAAATATTTTACCAGCACTTATGAGGACGGATCAGAAATTAACCCACATATTATATTATATATCTAATTATGATCAATGTATAATTGTTTCTGTATGGTTCTTCTTTACTATTGAATCCACAAATCTCATTCTGTAATTTATTTATTCTTATTTATTTATTTTTTGGGATATGGAATTTTGCTCTTGTTGCCCAGGCTGGAGTGCAATGGCACAATCTTGGCTCACTGCAACCTCTGCCTCTGGGGTTCAAGTGACTCCTTCCTCAGCCTCCTGAGTAGCTGGGAATTACAGGCACCCACCACCAAACCTGGCTAATTTTTGTATTTTTAGTAGAGACAGGGTTTCACTATGTTGACCAGGCTGGTCTCGAATTCCTGACCTCAGGTGATCTGCCCACCTTGGCCTCTCAAACTGTTGGGATTACAGGGGTGAGCCACCCCACCCAGACCTGTAATTTATTGTTAAAATTAACTTTTTTGAATAAAACAACCATATTGAATTGCATAAGTATCTTGATCAAGTTAATTTGAACTGGCAACTGTATTCGAGATTTTACTGCCAAGCCTGGTCAACCTAGCTGAGCAGCTCCTATACCTACTGATACCTACCTAAGGCTTTTTCCCTTCAGTGTATGCATTGCTTTACTTAGTTTCAAACTTACTTTTTTTAAATCTTAGATAGAAGGTGAGAGAGGAATGTTTTCTTACTGCATGCTGTGGCATATCCATATAAACCAACACACAGTCATATGCTGTTATGCTTCACGTGAATCTTTGTAACAATTCCATTAATTGTGTTTGCTTGTTTGTACATGGATGATATGGAAAGCTTGTCCATATTACGTATCTGAGCAACTTCACATTTTATTTTTTATATTTGCAATTGTAAAAATATTACAGCTAATGTAAAATATGTTAAAATATGGAAATATATTGAGGAAGAACTGAAACTTCCCAAGTGAGATCTCTCTAATTCCCACTGCCTTGCTCAGAGTAAACTCTAATGTGAAGTCTATGTGTATTTTTTTTTTCTCTGTGACAGAGTCTCTCTCTGTCTCCTGGCTGGAGTGCAGTGGCATGTTCTCTGCCCACTGCAACATCCGACTCCCAGGTTCGAGCGATTCTCCTGCCTCAGCCTCCCAAGTAGCTGGGACTACATGCGTGCGCCAACACATCCAGCTAATTTTTGTATTTTTGGTAGAGAAACGGTTTCACCATGTTGGCCAGGATGGTCTCGATCTCTTGACCTCGTGATCTGCCTGCCTCGGCCTCCCAAAGTTCTGGGATTACAGGCGTGAGCCACAGCACCTGGCTTGTGTGTAGCTTTCAATCCTTTTAATCTATTTAAAAAAAATTTTCCATCCATTTTACAGATGTAGAAACTGAGGCATAAAGAGATTAAGTAACTTGCCCCAAACCACACACTTAGTAAGTCATGGAACTCATAATTAAACAGAAACAGCTCATAAAAAAACAGGTTTTTGTTTGTTTTTGAGATGGAATCTCTCTCTGTCACTCAGGCTGGAGTGCAGTGGTGCGATTCTCTGCTCACTGCAACCTCCACCTCCCGGGTTCAAGCAATTCTCCTGCCTCTGCCTCCTCTTCTTGAGTAGCTGGGATTACAGGTGCATGCCACCATGCCCGACTAATTTTTGTATTTTCAGTAGAGACAAGGTTTCACCATGTTGGTCAGACTGGTCTGGAACTCCTGACCTCGTGATCCGCCCCCCTCAGCCTCCCAAAGTGCTGAGATTACAGGTGTGAGCCACCGCGCCTGGCCTAAAAAGTTGTTTTTGACCAACTGTTTCATACTTTCTGTCTGTCTCATATTTAAAATCTTACAAATATATTTTAATGTAAGTGTATTATACTATCTGTAAAGTTCTATGGCATGATGTTTATGCTTAACATATTTTGTATATAAATAAAATAGCCTATTTTTGTTGTTTCCCATATTAAAATGTTATTCCAAAATAAGCATCCACAATATATAATTTCACCATATAAAAATTAACAAGCATATAAGCTGTTAACACTTTTGTCTTAACTGAAAAGCTTTCAAGCGAATATCTTTGTACAAACATCTTTTATTACCTTTTATTTGACTTTCTGGAGGAATTAGTACATCCGAGATTATTTTACCAATTTTTCACCAATGCTTAATATTATCAATCATTTCTAACATTTTGTAAAGCTAATTTGTAAAAATAAAAATGGGATTGTAATTTTTCTTTTACTTGTCTTTTCTTGATAATATTTGAGAATATTATTCATTAATGTACAAAGGCATTATTTGAGTTTTCCTTTTCTTGAATTATTTGTATGTGTGTTTTTCTTCTTTATATTAGTTCAACTATTTCTTAAAATTTTTTAGAGAAACTCCTTATCTTTTCTACTAATCCTTGGTCTGTTGTGTACCAACACATGCACACTATAAATATGATTTTCCCACCTAATGTCTCTTACTACTTTATTCATGATTTTCGTGTTTACTTTTAATGTTCTTGTGCACTTAAATTTGTCAGTCATTTCTTTACGTTTGGTTGCATATATTCCCATTATCATAAGGGAAATATCAAAAACCCTTCATGGAGGTGGTAACAGCGTAATTTAGTTTATATACATAAATATAATTTATTCACACCAAATGGTGTTCAAGAGGATGATTCTGGATATAACTCACTAATATTTAAGCAAAGAAACAGAGATGAAAAGTCTCATAATGTGTTCAGGAAAAATATTAACGATTTGGTGTGCTGGAACTTAAAATGTAAGGTAGGCAGTGGCAACAGATGGGGTTGAAAATGATACTGAAGGAATTATGTGTTATAATAAGGCACTTGGAAATGTACTTTACAGCAATGAGGAGCCGTGTGTGGGGATGTGGAAAGGTCAGATTTGCATTTAATGGAAGACCTTGGCAACTGTCAGAAGGATGAATTTGAGAAAGTCATATTGAAGATAAGGTGGTGACCTAAGGAACTGTAGTCATAGCCAGATGATGTTCACTCAAAACTAAGGTGCCAGTAGTTGGAAACTGGAAGTGGAAGAAATAAGGTTCTCTGTATCTAGAACTAAAAAACTACTAAATAAAAAAAAATAATAAAAAAATAGTTCTTTTTTGTTTTAACCTTCTGGTCTAACTAAAATTATAATTCCCGAAGGTCTTTAGGTTCCTGTTGATTTTGATGATATATTCAGGACTCAAAAAATTCCTCCATGTTCAACAATATATCACAGAAAGCTCAAATCACTGTGATATTTTCAGTTGACGGTGTTTGGAAATATGTTACCTCCATTGGTAATATTTCGTAATGTTGCACATAAGATTTGTCTTTGATTTATAAACAGATGCATATAAATTCATGATTTTTCCTTAATCATTAGTAAAAGGGAAACTAGCATTTTCTGAAGCTCTACTATGTAACTCTACTACTTATTTTATATAGATTGTCTTTAATATGAAGACAACTCTATGTGAAAGGTGATATAACTATTTGACACGTAAGAAACAAAGTTTCAGAAAAGTGAGTAAATTTCTAATGGAAAACAAAAGATACTGGATTTTAATCTAGATCTTCAGTTTTAAAATAAATTGTTTGGCCTAATCAATAAAGCTTACATACCTAAAATTTAAAATTTTATCTTGACCACCTTAATACAATAATACTTAGTACTAAAAATAGCAGTCAAAATTATTTCCAATTACATAAACTCATTTTAGGGTCACAAATCTGAAAAAGAGGAAAATTTACTTTCAAAAAGATATTTCTAATTTTCTAACATTTTGGCCATTTGAGAACTTAAATAATGTTAGCCTCTTGTTTCAAATTCGACCACGTAAATCATAAGTTGAACCCCCATTATCTTATCATTTATCTCCAGAGCACACACAAATAAATAAAAATCTTAAATTAATTTTTTAAATTCAGTAACATCATTTTTTATATCAAAGCACTTAGGATTTGGAAGTAAATTATATTTTATCATAAAAGTGTGAGAGATGACTTTTCTACTTTATCCTTAAGTTGATTTTCTTGGTGTGTTTATACATGTCCTCTGGAATATATACATAAAACAAATACAAGCATCTCATTGAGTGGTAATTTTTACTAACATTAATAAGTTAATTCTTTTAGAGGGAAATTTCCACTATAAATTTAATATGTCTTAGGTTCAAAATATTAATACTTTAAATTAATTTCATGACTTACAGCATTAAAAAACTATATATGAGTACTCAAGATCATTGCTGACATATTCCCTCCCCTACTGAACCTACTCTGCTATGTTTGGCAGTCTGTGTCAGACCCTAGTTTGATTGGCAGAGTATCCATTTTTTTCCTTGTCATGAGGTTTCTCTACTTTAATCAGTCTTCAAATTAAATAGATTTTATTGCACCTGGAAATAAATAACAGCATGTAGCAGTTTTGTCTTAAAATAGATCATACCTAAGCTATGAAACAGAAGCATGCTTTAGAGCCTAATATCTTCTGTTGTGATTGGTGGAATTTATCTAAATGTCTTAATTTGCATGAAATATGCATATATATATATACACACACACACACACACACACACACACACACACACACCACACAGTATAATTAAGCAGTTTTAAAACCAATTTTAGCTCTGTTTGAATGATATTAATAGATCATTGCTTTATCTTGCAGGGGTTCGGTTTTACATACATGAAATATTTTTCCATATCAATGGGGCTAGATTGATATTGCATTTTTTATTTAAAGAATCAAAACACTTTATGTACTATATAGCCTTTCAGAAAATTTTCTCTTAATCCCTATTTTTTCTTAAAGTATTTTTAAATGAACCTCTAATGAAAATCTTATAAGAATATGAATTAGGTGAAGGACAAATTAAAAATACAATTAATTTTAAGACTAATAGCCATTCATGTTTAAAATACTGCTACCAGACTCTTTAATTTGTTGATTTTCTTCTGATTTATTTATTTAGCATGTTTTAAATGTTTATTTCATATAGTATTTGGTAAGTATTTAATGATGCAAATAATGATGTGAATATGAAGTACAGCAAAGCACTCGCATACTTTAAGTGGTCAAAGAACAATGCAAATCACATTAGACCTTTTCTGTAATCACTTTTTGTCCAGACACAGAATGCATTATAGGAGAAAACATGGAAGAAGATTGATTGATGTCATCTCCATTACCATCCAGTTCCAAAAAGGATAGCTGATTTGTTTGTTGAAAACAACTTGAATTCTTCTCTCATTTCAGTTGGAAAAGGGTCAGGTTATTCACTGAAACCTGTTCTTTGGTGTCAGCAAATAGAATTGTAAATGACTTTGACAAAACAACTTAAGTGACATGGAAGAAATGTTATCAGATTGCTCCCAGTCAAGGGGAGGTTTGAGAAATACGGAAAGGAAAAAACAAACAAACAAACACACAACAACAACAAAAACAAGACAGGTAATATGCAAAAGTGGCTTCTTAAGAATGGCAAGACATTTAAGCTTTGTATTTAGCTAGAGAGATGTAAAACTTTTTTAACATGAAAAATTGTGAGCACATTTATAAGCAGAAGGTTAGGAGTAATTGGTGACAAAGATGTTTTAGATCAATCAGAAAAAAAGAATCATCAGCTAGAGCAAAGTTCCTGATTATATAAACTGAAGTAGGAGTCATAGCATTGGGAGATGAATTAACCTTCGACATGGAGAGAGGGATTCGTCTTTCAATTTTATAACAAGAATATATTAGTCATCTATTTTTACATGTCTAAATCAGGAGACAGGAACAGCTGAGGAAATAGAAAGTCAAGATGGTGGGACTCTCCACTGTACAGATGAGAATTTCTTAAAATAAATACTGTTTTCATTCTTTAAGATGAGATTAATTACGTCATACCTAAACTATGCTACCAGGACTTAAAGAGTAAAATCTCCCAATATTTTATGGTTTAAGTTTATGACCTCTTCACACCTTCAATGAACACTTTATATTTTCTTTTGACTCAGCCCAAATGTTATCAAATCAGAATGGGAAAATGAGTTATTCACTGACACATGAAATGGAGAGAAATTTTTCTTATATATTTTTTGAAAGTATTTTCCTAATACATGTGTTATAAAATTTTATTCTTGACGTCTTTCTTTTTTTTCTTTGAAATTAAGTAAACTTTCCTTGAGATGAGTGACCTTTTTTCTTCAAGAACTCATTTTTGCTCACTGTGAAAAAACCCCAATCTCCCCCCAGAGTGAGTATGGTTTCTGTTGTTAATGGAATCTCAGCATATGTAATCTATTTTCAGGTTCTAAAAACATTTGTTTATCCTTATTTAAGTTTGTTACTTATTTATTTTCAGACATTATTTGAAGTGTTTGGTGTGTATGGTTGTATTACTCACTTGAAGAAACTTAATAAAAAAGCAACATTTTAAGAGCTGATTTAGTGCCAGTTTTGTGATATGAGGAAATGTATAGCTCAGACCAATTTCTTTGTGTTTATTTTGGAGGTAATTAGAGAAGTTTTAAGAATATTTTCCTGTAGCAAATTTTATTTCACCCATTTTGGTTACTTACCAGCACTTGCTATGTCTGATAAGAATGATTTCAGTATGGGAATAAATAATAGAGCAACCCAAATACACTCCCTATGCAATCATATTAGAATTTGCTGCTGACACCATGTAAATTTACATTCAGTCTTTCTTCTCTTCTTGGGACAGAGCAACAAGAGATTGGTACAATGGCTGTGTCTATACAACGACATAACATCTTGTGATTTCCATCCATTAAATCCAGTCATCTAGATGATTTAACATAAACACTAAGCATTTGAATTGTTTGATTTTTAAAAATACCACAGACAACCAGACAAACTACTTTTTTTCATCTTAAAGGCATTCAGAACAATATGCAGATGAGAGTGATTAGCAAATTGTGTTTTATGATAAAAATTCAAATAATTTTTGCTTGTTAAAGCAAAGTGTGTGTGTGTATTTTTAACATTAAATGAAAATGACACAAATATAATGATCAAACTAAAAATTGAAAAATACAACAGTTAATACCAATATTAGCATATTACTCTATAAAGCTGAAATACACAAATTTCTACATACATAGTTTATTTTGATTTAATTTAAGATTAATATAGAGCAAGCACCTGCAAGACAATGACAACATCATCACCACCACAACCAACCACAGCAGTTGTATCAGTAATAAAAAAGGTGAGTCCCTAGTGTGTGAGAATGCTTACTAGTAAGCTATGAATTGAGACTTTGGAATCAGGAAGACCTCCTTCCAATCCAAGCTCTTCCGGCTATGAGATTTTAAGGATGTAGCAATCCTTTTGAGCCACATTAGAGAAACGGGGATAATGTAATTAACAACTTGAACTTTTGTAAAGACTAAATAATATGTGTGTGCTAAAGTTCTATTATAAAAAACTGTCTAGAGCATGGCAAGCTCCCTAATACCTGGCTATTTTTTTTCTCTTTTCTGCTTCTTTCTAAATGCTTTGGTGTTGATGCTCCCCATCAGCCCTAACTGCAAAGAAAGAAATACAAATCTTGTTTGAGACAGTATGATTATCTTGCTGGAATTTTAGAGAAAGCAGATACTGTTTATCAGACGTAGAAGTAGGGCATCTTAAAAGTACAAGAAAAAATTATACTTGAGTTTTAGCCTGAGGCCATATTTCCATGTATCTCTTACTGATTAAAGAATATTTTAAAAAAATTATTTAGTTTTATTCATAAATTGATTCCTAAAGACTTTGAGATGGCTTGATATTGAGAGTTCAACATAAATGTCAGCCTTTCCAGTCCACCTAATCTGTGATTGTACCTTCTGACCCTGATACATTATGAATTATAACTTCCTGCTTCATTTTATTCATGGCAACTATTGCCATTCAAAATTGTCATATTTGTTCACTTATTTATTATCTTAGTGTCTATCTTTCCCATCTAGAATAAGATTGAGTAGCCTTACCTGTTTTTAATAAATCTATTATATGGTGATAATAATTTTTGAATAAATTAGCAGATGACAAATGTTAGCAAGTTTTTGAAAGCAGATGATAAATGCTAATATTTATTGGGCACTTAATATGTACCTATAACCATTTCAAGCATTCTATATGTATTAACTTATTCATTCCTCACAATTACGCTCATGAGGTGAATACTATTGTTACCCACACTTTACAGAGGATTGAAGAAAGAGTAGGCGGCTTGCCAAATGTCCCAAAAATGGTAAATGTAGATTAAAATGGAAACCCAGCTGCCTTTGGGGCCCGTGGACTCCAGTGCTGTGGTATGCTGTGATAATTTTGTTTCTCCTGCCACAGGCACATTTTCTATGTGCTATAAATATCCACTTGTAAGACAGTGTTAATCTAAAACTGCTCTGTATTTTAACATTTAAGAAATGACATCTTATCCCAAGAAATTTTCACCATTAAAAAATGGAAAAAATTGTCATTTAGTAGTAAAATTTCTGAGAATAATATTTGATAAAGCAAGTTGTGGTTTACTTTACCAATATTTGTTCAAGTTTAATAGATGCTAAAATGCTGAGATCAGTTTCCATTGTTATAACACTGAGATGGGATATGTTCAATAAAATTTTTAGAATATTATTGGAAAAAGATAGATTTGATGACAACTATGAGCTCTAATTTCAGCTCTGATATTTATAAACCTTATGGATTTATATGAGTAACAATCATTCTGAGTCCCTCTGAACCTTATTTCTTTTACCTTTAAAAAGGTTATAATGGTGTCTGACTTGTGAAGATCAAATAAGGAACATGCAAAATGCCTAGCACAATGCCTGGTGCATAATAGACATTCAGTAAAGATTAGATGCTGTAGCTTTCCTTAGATTCTATTTATCAGGAAAAAGTAAATGGGTTAAACTCTTCATTATATACAGCTCATTCCATTCTTTTAGTATATTCAGTCAATCAGTAATTGAGCTGTTCCATAAATAAGACAAACTACTTGTGTTGATAATATGGAACAAAATAGACATTATTTTTGTCTTCATGGAGATTATATTCTAGCAGGGAGAAAAGACATTTAACAACTAATCATGAAGGTAAATATATTACATAATGTGATGAAATTTGAAGGAAAAACTAGTTACAGTGATAAAAATGTGCTGGGAAATTAGAATATCTCTATTGAGGTACAGCATGCAGTTGGTGATTGAATTTGTTTAAAGAATGTAGTGTGTCAGGCTTATCAGGACTCAGCAACAGGGTGGCCAATACTTCTAACTTTCAGGCTTACGAAACAACGATTTGATATCTATCTGAATTACTGGTAAACATCTCAAAATTAACATGATAATTTTTTCTTTTCCTTATTTATACTCTCCTTTTAATCTTTCAATAAATGACTCCTTCATCTACCCAGTTATTTATGAAGTAAGCTAGGAAGGAACACTTTTGATACTGCCCTACCCCAGCCTCCACATCTTATCTTTTACCAAATCCCAAAGACTGTCTCCAGTGCATATTTCTGATAGGTTCTGGGACTGGAGATCTAGGCTGTGGCAAAATTATACAGATCAAGCCCTATATTCCATGCTAAGTATTTGAACTCTATTTAAAAGGAGATATGAAGCCACTTAAGTTTTTGCAAGCAAAGTAGTTCAGATTTAATTTAGATTTTCAAGATATTACTTTGCCTACTATGTAAATAATGGATTGGAAGAGGTAAAAAATAGACTGGAGGATACTGAAGACTGGAGGATAAGAAGACTGGTTGGAGGATATTGTAATAGTCCAGTGGAAGAGACTATTGTGGCTTAGGTTAAGGGAGCAGCAGTCTTGAGGGAGCAATGTTATCTATTAAAAATATACATTGGAGACAATCTCTGGGGCTTGGTAAATATTACATGGGGAGGTTAGCGATAGGGAAGTGTTAAAAGCACCCCTTTTAGCCTCCTGCATAAATAACTGGGTAGGTAAACACATTACTTATTGAAAGATTAAAGAGAGAGTGTAACTATGGAAAAGAAAAAAATAGCATGTTAATTTTGAGATGTTTAAGAGTAATTCAGACGGATATCAAACACTCCTTGTTTTGTAAAGCTCAATGTTAGAAAGAGTGGCCTGAGCTGGAAATAAAATTTTGGAAAACATGAACTTATCTGTAGGAAGCAGTTAAAGTCATGGGAGTGATGAGACCATCAGGAACATAATATAAACTGAAAAATGACATTGTCATGGACCTGAGTCTTGCCTTTGGATTTTACAGAAGATAACTCTGAGACAAGGATTTAAGTGCATGTAGTTTATTTGGGAAGAGCTGAGAACACTGTCAGGGGAGGGAGAAATAAGACAGGGAAGATAAAGCAGCCAATAAAAAGTGGATTATTTAAACTAGTTACAACTTTAGAGCATAATCCTATGCTTCATCCCTTAGAAATAAGATAAAACACATACCCCAGAATTACCCTATGGAAGGGGCATAGGAATTAGGGTATTTTTAAAACAGTTTTAGTGAGGTATAACAAAAAACTGTACATAGTGTGTAAAATTTGATGAATTTGGACATATACATATACCCATGATATTATCATCACAATCAAAGTAATTAAACTTATCCATCACCTCCGACAGTGTCCACGTGTATTTCTATTGTTGGTGTTGTTGCTGTTTTTGGAATCACAATGTGATATCATCTTATATATGTTAGAATGGCTATTGAAAAAAAAAAAGGTAGCAAGTGTTTGCCAGGATGTGGAGAAATTTAAAACTCTTCGGCACTGTTGAGAAGGTAAAATTGTGGAGCCACTATGGAAAACAGAATGCAGGTGCTTAAAAAAATTAAAAATACCTTATGATCCAGCAATCCCACTTTTGAGTATACATCCAAAGTATATGAAATCAGTATGTCGAATAAATATCTGTAATGCTGTATTCATTAAAACATTATTCAAAATAGTCAAGATATAAAAACAACCGAAATATTTATCAATGAATAAATGGATAAAGAAACTGTCCTCAATTTAGGGTCTATAGGCCCCAGAATGAATCTTCAGTACATTATACTAAGTAAAATAAGCCAGACATAGAAAGACAAATCCTGCATAATTCCACTTACATGTGGTGTCTAAGATAGTCAAACCCAGACGCAGAGTAGAATGGTGTTTGCTTTGACAGAGGGAAATGAGGAGTTTTTCTTCAATGGGAGTAAGTTTTTTTTTTTTTTAACTTTTACATTTAGAAGTACATGTGCAGGTTTGTTTTATAGGTTAACTTGCATCACAGGGGTTTGATGTACAGATTATTTCATCACCCAGATACTAAGCCTAGTACTCAATAGTTACTTCTTTCTGCTTCTCTCTCTCCCGCCACCTTCCATGCTCAAGAAAGTCCCAGTGTCTGTTTTTCCCCTCTTTGGGTCCATGTGCTCTCAGAATATGTGGTATTTGGTTTTCTGTTCCTGCATTACTTTGCTAAGGATAATGGATTCCAGCTCTATCCATGTTCCTGCAAAGGACATGATCTTCTTTTTTATGCCTGCATAGTATTCCATCGTGTATATGTACATTTTCTTTACCCAGTCTTCCATTGATGGACATTTAGGTTGATCCCATGTCTTTTCTATTGTGGATAGTGCTGCAGTGAACATACCCATGCATGTGTCTTTATGATAGAATGATTTATATTACTTTGGGTATAAACTGGGTATAATCCCAGTAATGAGATTGCTGGACCAAATGGAACTTCTGTTTTTAGCTCTTTGAGGAATCACCACACTGCTTTCCACAATGGCTGAACTAATTTATACTCCTACCAACAATGTGTAAGCATTCCCTTTTTCCTGCAACCTCATATGCATCTGTTATTTTCTGACTTTTTAATAATGACCATTCTGCCTGGTGTGAGATGGTGTCTCACTGTGGTTTTGATTTGTGTTTGTCTAATAATCAGTTATATAGAGGATTTTTTGTAATGTTTGTTGGCTGCATGCAAGTCTTCTTTTGAAAAGTATCTGTTTGTGTCCTTTGCCCACTTTTTAGTGGTTTTCTTCTTATAAATTTTTTAAAGTTCTATATAAATAAATAAATAAATAAATTTAAGTTCATTATAAATGCTGGATACTAGACTTTTGTCAGATATATAATTTGCAAATATTTTCTCCCATTTTATAGGTTGTCTGTTTACTCTATTGACAGTTTCTTTTGTTGTGCAGAAGCTTTTTAGTTGAATTGGATCCCTTTGTCAATTTTTGCTTTTGTTACAATTGCTTTTGTTTTCTTTGTCATAAAATCTTTTCCCATTTCTGTGTCCAGAAAGGTATTGCCTACATTGTCTTCCAGGGTTTTTATAGCTTTAGGTTTTACGTTTAAGTCTTTAGTCCACCTTAAATTTATTTTTGTATATGATGTAAGGAAGGGGTCCAGTTTCAATCTTCTGCCTATGGCTACCCAGTTATTTCAACACCATTCAATGGGTATAAATTTTCAGTTATACAAGATAAATAAGTTTTACAGATCTGCTATAGAATATACTACCTATTGTTAGTACACTTAAAAACATATGGTAAAATGGTAAATCTCATGTCAATCATTCTTATAAAATAGGAAGAAAGAAACAAGAGTATTTTGTCGCTAGGATGTCTGCTCTCAAAAAGTGTTAATTACCTGGTATTCTCTTATGTTGCAGGTGAGTGAAGGGGCCTTCTTTGTTTCTAAGGATATTGAATTAGCAACAGACATAGTTTCTGATCAAAACGAGAGTTGTTTTGGCTCTTCAATCAAAGTGAGTGTTGAGGAAATTAGGGTTTCCAGATGTAATGCATGTAATATTTGGGATACATTTATACTAAAATATCATTTGTTGCTTATCGGAATATTTGAATTTAACTAGTCATACTTATTTTTTGTTTCGTTTGGTTTGCTAAATCTTGCAACCCTTATTGAAATGAGTTGAAAAGTAAATAGAAAATGAAGAATCTGTGACATGTTAGGAGCCCATATTGGCTGTGTGGAAACAGAGAGGTAGAGTAAAAAGAAACTAATTTTTTGTTTTGTGTTTTGAATAGGTGATACTACAGTATATATGAATGCTGAGAGGACATATGCAGTTAAGAGTGAGATGTAGAGGAAAGACAGGGAAGAGCATAACAGATTGAGGTAGGAAAGGCTTCAGGGCATTTGAATCAGTGGATGAGGATGAGTTCACTTTCGATTGGAGGTAAGACACCCGCATGATAACATAAAGGATGTAGAGAGTAAAAGGACTAAAGAAATTAGGGAAAGTGACAGGAATTTTGCTAAATGGGAGCCAGATTTCCATAGACATAGTGGAATAGTGGAAATGTTTTGGAGACAGAGCAGAAAGGAAGTATGGGGCTGGGGGTATAGAGCAGTGGGCCGATAGATGTCGTATCATCAGAAGAACTTGCACTGTAGGAGCGGAGTACAGTAAACAGGAAGGAGAGACAAAATGAATTCAGACTAGAGGGAAAGGGCAGGCTTTAACCTAATACAGCAAATATGCTCACTAGTAGAGTGAAAATCTTTTTAAAAATTATATTTAGCAGCTCTTTTTGAAAATAACATTCTCAAATGTGTATCTACACAGACACACATACTTATTATTTACATAAAGATAGGTCATTTACACAAAATTAAAATACTTGAAGTTTTTCAGAGGTTAATCTTTTTTCAGGTTAAATATTGTTTAAAAGATTGATAAGTGAAATCCTCTCTTAATATATTGTAAATAGATCAACATCTTCATGAAATCTTTTAGCTTATTTAATTTTTTAACAATTTCATGGTGATATACACTTCTAATGGACATATAACTGTGGTAGAATTAACTATTGATTTTGAAATATGGAGTGATAGTTGATAAGAGGTAAGTTAATGGATATAGTTATATAATGACCAGTTGAGTAAATCTTTTTGTACATAAAAGATAACAGATTCTACTTACTATCTTGAAACTACAGAGGTATAACCATAGTTATGTGCTTTGGGGTATGATTAATGAGCTCTGTCTTTGGCTGCATTAAGAACTGAGTGAAAGTTTAACTGCCAAAGAACACATGCATCACTCTAAGAGGAAACTGTACTGTTTACAATTCCCTTGGAGATAGTAGAGAATCTCAAGAAAAATAGGCACTGAAAAGTCAATAGTTGGATGTCTTCTAGGTAAAATAGTCAACTAACTGTGTAATGAATCACTGCAAATTGAAAACTGGAAGCAAATTATAGATTTTTTTTAGTTTCAGGTATAAAAATAATTTATTAGCCAAATGATGCACCCTAGTCTGAAAACTATAAAGAAAAAAAATGTCAGTTCAATAAAAATCCATCAGAAATTATTCTGGATCTTAATTATAGAGCTCTATCTTTGTCTTTAAAGAAAAACCAAAAAAAAAAAAAAATTAAAAAACAGAAAAATACAGAAATGTGTCAACATGTATTTTTCATTTTCATATTTTGCATTTTGAAATATTTGCTGCACATTAAGGTATGTGACCTATTTATGATTATTTTTAAGCCAAATACAATATTGTTAATAAAATATTTTTAAAATTATTCTAGACAACTATCAACAAAATATTTTTGCCATAATATTCAGCCAGAATATTTTTTCTCTAGTAAGCTTTCTAATGACTTTTGAATAATTAATTTTTACTAATTCTGCCACCAGATACAATCACAATAAACAGATTCAACTGTAATGGTAGTGAATCATCATTCCAACAAAAGAAACTATACAGTTACACTAGATTAAAAAAAAAAAACTCTACTGTTTATATATACCATATAGTTGGCAGGAGTTTAAAGTGTTATTGATACACCCTCTTGTGGGGCTTTCATAGGCAGGTAGCACCTAACTTTGTTTTCAATACTATTTTATCTTTCAGATGTCTGTAATCTTTAAAAGCAATTATAAACAAGATAATCAAAACACCACATATATAACAAATCAATCATTTAATTATATGGCATTTTTAAAAAGATGAGTAATTTATTTATTAAACACACACAGCCACCTCTAACCCAGTTATTGGTTTAACAGTGAAACCTTGTCTAAGTTCTCAGTGATGGTGACCATTTAACTTCACATTTGCAACTAAGGAAAAAGTCACATGCCAGCTCAACCCTGCTTAAGACAGACTGCTCAACTGTAAATTACAACTGATATTGAAATATCCAGTATGACATATTCATTTTTCTATCACAGGCTATCAATGAAATATTATTTTCTTGAAGTACATGATTTTATTATTTTTCAAAAATTGTGACTGTGATGGCTATGTGAATTTGGGAAATTCAGAGGATTAGAATACCAACACATTAAGTAATAATTGTTTATAAACTGCCTATTTACTTCATTCTATGCTTTATAATGCATTTTTCATCTACTTTACAGTGTTCTCTTTGGTTTCTGATATAGTTTGGCTGTGTACCCCCTCATATCTCACCTTGAATTTTAAGAATCCCCAGGTGTCAAGGACAGGGCCAGGTGGAGATAATTGAGTCATGGGGGCAATTTCCCCCATACTGTTCTCCTGATCATGAATAAGTCTCAGGAGATCTGATAGTTTTAAAAATCAAAGTTCCCCTGCACAACTTCTCTTGCCTGTTGTCATGTAAGTCATGCCTTTGTTCCTCCTTTGCCTTCCACCATGATTGTGAGGCCTCTTCAGTCGTGTGGAACTGCGAGTTCATTAAATCTCTTTTCTTTATAAATTACCCAGTCTTGCATATGTCTTTATCAGCAGCGTGAGAACAGACTAATACAGTCTCTATTTAACTTATGTAATAGCATTCTCATATGCTTACTTAAAAAAAAACTTTTATTCAAATTACGATTAGGTTTAACATGAAGAATAAGCTACCTTGAAATGTCATTGTTTCATGTAATCATGTTATTTATTATTAATCCAAAGTGAAACCCATTATAAGTCTGTATAGCAAAAGTCAGGTTGTTGACCATAAGGAGACAATAGAGAAATTAAATTTAGAGGAAGGGAAAGGCTTTGCTTTAATGATCTCAAAGTGATATTTAGTTTAGCTGAGAAGATGATATCAGGATACTTTTCCGGCTTAGAAAAAAAGACTGCATCAGACTGAGGATGACAGGTAATTAAATGTCGAAGTCCAGTTGGTTTTATCAATTGAGAAGCCACAGGAGGGGGATGAAAGGAAGGGGAAGAGTAAAGTCAGGGTGTTTATTCTTCTGCATCCCTTCCTGAAGGGCTATCTGTGCCTGCCTGGATCCTTCTAATGCTCCTCTGTGCACAGCTCTCTTTACCCAGTCATCCTTCTGGGTTGATAACTTGTCCCTTCTGTTGTCCTCTTGTGCCTGCTGCCTCTAGCCTGAGGTTACTGCAGCACTGCTTTGTGGTTTAATATACCCAATCCCACCTTTGTAAATAGTTACTTTGTAAATGAACCCTCTTTAAATTTTTAAAATTTGAGTGTGGTTTTTATTCCTGTTGGGACATACAGCTCTTAATTCTTTTAGCAATTGTTTCTGAGAGGCATTTGGATGGAAGGGAAGTATATTTGTGATAGAACACAAATATCAAAGATGTATAAGCAAAGTTCAACCTTATTAAATTATTCAAATCCTCTGTATCTTTACTTTTATCCATTTAATCTATTATGCTCAAAGACCAATAGTTCTGTGTTTAAATCTCCCTATACATTTATGTATTTGTTCATTTCTCTTTGAATTTCCAGCTGTTTTAAAAATAGATGTTATTACCATATATTTAAATATACAGAGAATCTTGATTCATAAATCCTTATTATGAATATTAGTTTGACTTTTTCTCACCTTCTTATTTCCATTTATTTCTCATGGATATGTAATTTCTTTAGGTATCAATATTTATATTCCTTTCTTTTTTTTCCTCTCTTGACTTCTGTGTATTTTTCCATACTCTTATTCTTAATTTTTAGCATATTTCATCTGTAGATTTGTCTCTTGTAAGTAGCATGCAATCCAAGATCCTTTGCTTCTTTTAACAATAATAAAAACAACAAATACTTACATAAGGTTTCTATATGTGGGTGCCATTCCAAAGCTGTTTTTTATTTATTCTAATTGAATCACCAGGAACCTATGGATGGGTATATTATAATCCTTTTACAGGTGAGGAAACCAAATTACAGAATTTAAAACAATGTCAAACACCAGCAAGCATTAGAACACCTTTGAACCCTCAGGTTGTCTGACTCCAGTGTTCTTAGCTATTATACAATATGTCTGGTCAGAATCAAAAATTTAAATCAATGGATGTCATAGCTGATACATGTGGTCTTTTATCAATTATATTGTTTTGGCTTTTCTTTCAGTGACCATAGACAAAAAAGGTATTATATTTTAGCTTCTGCTATTTAAGAGAACTTTGATGTGTTCTTATTCTAACTTTCTCAATTTAGACAGTATTAATTTAATTTGGGTTTCTAGGAGCAGGGAGTAATTATATTCAATATATTAAATATAATATTTAAATTATATTATTTCTTTCAGTAATTCTTTTTTGTTTGCTTTGGTTTTCCTCAGTTAAGATTTTCACCTATCCAAAAGACCTATATATACGTATTTCTAGTGTTCATCTCCTATGTATTCTTTAGGATTGTTAGTGTTATTCTAATATAATTTTCAGTGTTATTTTATTTTTCTTATAGGTTGATTATTTATATAAACATATATTGTCTCTACCTGTATGTCTATGTCTACATATATGTGTAATATAATTGGAAAATAATATTTTCATTACTTATATATTTAATAATGAATTCTCATTGGCCTTTACATAAACTATATGAGAATTAATATAGAATTTTCAGATTATAAACACATTTTTTTCAAAATTCTATGTTTCTCAAAACCAATATCTTTTCACTCAGCATTTACTTTTCAAAAGGGAAAGTCTAGCACAGGTCAAGTTTTTATTTGTATGCACTCTGGATTTCAAATTTTAGGCAGGTAAGGTTTACCTTACTTTTTCAAGTACATGAAAAGTTATGGGTTATTTTTTAATTATATTAGAAAAACTATGAATTTTGATGAATAAAAATGTTGTTTCCTTTTTCATGTCAGGAGATTTTTTCATACTTCAATTTATTCTGGATTCTTTTTTAATGACCATTTTAAGGACTTTTCCTTGTTTTTCTTATTTATTGAAGCTTTATCATTTCTTAATAGCACTCAAATAGGGTGTATGTTCTTAGGTGCATATATGGAATATGCATAGATTTATATATATATACACATACAGATTTTTATATATATATACATATATATTTATATATACACATACAAAATATATCCGTAACTTGTACCCATAAATTTGTAAGTTAGCTGTGGCTCTTGATCCAAAATTTGACTCTAATGAATCTGTTACTAGAAATGCACATTTCATGAACATTGCAGATTGCATATTCTAACAGATTTGACTAGTTAGGTCAACACATGTTTATTCAGAATGAAGTAATAATGGATTATAAGCCATATGTAAATATTGACAGTGATCTCTACAATAGACATTAGTAAGCTACCTGGTTATACAAAGAATCAGGGTCAGCTCAGTTATCTACTTCTTTTCTCCTCAAATGCAAGACAGTAGCTAGTCCTCAGAGGTATTATTTATAACAATAAAATTATAGATCTTCTAAGACCAAAACTATAATTATTTGTTCAGATGTGGGTTCATCTTTTCTTCCTACTTTCTATCTAATGTAAAGCATACGTGTCTAGAGCGAAGACTCTGATGAAACCTTTAAATTTTCTTTTTACTACGTTAAGGCTTGTATACATTGAATCTTATTATCATTTTGTTCTGCAAAATGAGTAGCCCACTTCTGAATTTTAGAAGAAAAATCTAGAATATTCTCTGAAATTATTATACTTCTTAAATGCAACCATTGTGCACTACTAAAATTTTTTTTCTGACACATAGCGGTGAGAATCTCAAATCTTGCTCTAATATTTGAAATTACTTTTTCAGCTCTTGAAATAACACATGGAAGTTAAAAATACAGAGATCAATATATAGGAAAACTGTCATAGATCAATATATAGGAAAACATTAATATAGCATGATTGTTTATAATATGTATGCTTAGATTTCAATTTATACCAAGTTGCAAATAAAAATCTGCAGTGAATGCAGATCTTGAATAAAATGCTGATTGAACTCAGTAGATAGCTCTTGTGCTTTTAATGTTGTTTACTATGCCATGTTATATATATATGTTGAGCCATAAAAATGATTGGGTACAATATTACATAAAAGAGACTTAATCAAGAGCTAAACATTTAGTGTAATATAATTTTCATATGCATATAAATTAATGCCTAAGAGACTAAAATATAATTGAATATATAAAATGTAGTGGGCTTTAGTTGAAAAATAACATTATACTTCTGAAAAATACTATTGTTTCACTAGGATAAATCCTTAAAAATAGATTACTGCTCAATGTGTGCCCTGTGCAACAATCACTGGTGTAGGTGTAAACTTATGTAACCTTTGAAACTTGTATATACAAAGCTGTGCTCTATATTTTCTAAGTAATCTTGAAATTTTTCTTAATATTCGATACGATACATGTTATACGTTTGATACCTGTATGTTCTGAAACCCTCGATTAACCCTCACTGCTTTCAGGAAGCTGCCCATTATTATTCACTGTCATCTTGTACATCTGAACAATACCAGTTGCACGTTCCCAACAATTTAGCATAAAATAATACAGTAGTGCAGCAACAGCAATACATACAGTTAACTAATAAAAACTTCATTAATAATTTGGATAATTTGTAATTTTTGGGCAAAAAGTTGAATATATGTGTAAAAGAATGATTATAATGATGAATCTAGGAAAGCAATATAATCTGGAGGAAAATAATTTAAAATGAAATTTACTGGAGTCAATTGATTTGAGCTCTGAAATAAAAAGATTATTGCAGAGGAACATTGAGCAAATGAGCAAGAAGAATGGAAGCAGATGGTCACAATTTTTGGTTGGCATAATTATTGATAATACTGATATTCAGGATAGGACCACAGCAGTGAAAGCCTGAGATGGAGTAGCAGTGATATTGAGGCCAGAGTGTAGAATGGGTCATTCATGTGGATATAATATATTTCAAGCACCCTAATTAGTATCTATTCTCATTTTATCTAGATTCCACTTACCTTACTTACCTCTAATTTGTTAAGCCTCTACTATACCTTTAGGTCGTCTATGTTAGAATTTGGTTACATTTCTTTGTTTAAAGGCAAACACTATTAATGTGAATGCTTAATTTTATTGGTTGTTTTTGATTTTGTTTATCCTTTGAGAACAAGCTTTCTCCAGTGGATGTCTATAGAATGTGTGCTCCCTTTCATTATTTTCTAGAGAAGATGCCCTCTTGTGTAAGCACCAGGTTGGGTTTGCCTGTTTCTTTAGTCTTACAGCCTGATAAATTCTTTGTTGTTGTCTTTGTTGTACTGCATTAATTCTGAAAAGTGCGTGCAACTCTCTCTTACAGGAAGAGTTCCTGACTTAGTTTAATTTTAAAAATGCATTTTCTCCATTATATTAAATCACGGCACATTCTGTGTTACCCTTTTTAATATTCCTTTGGCTGTAATAGTTCAGGGGTTTTACCATTTAATTACTTAATCACTTCTATCAAGAGAATTAGATATGCTCTACTGAATGGTTTCACTGTTTCCTTCAAGCAACGCCAAAAAGTTCACTGAATTATTTTGTTGCAACAAGATCTCATCAAGTTACTGAAATTCTTTATTATTTTTGGTATCATTGCTTTCTGTAATACTGATGCTTTTTATGGCTTTAATTTGGGACAACTATCAGGAAACATTATATTTGATAAAACTAAGATAGCCAAGTAGATTTAAAAAACAAATTAAGAAAAGTTCTGAATTAAAAACAAAATGATAACTATATTCCTGGTAAAGAAATTAAGTATAATGAAAATACAGCTCACAAAATTATCCTTCTGAGAAATAAATCTAATTAGGTTACTTTACTGGCATTAAGAAAAAGTACAGATTTCCTATTGCCTACAGCAGTTGTCTATACATCTTTTTTTTCATATGACTGTATTAGTAAAACAATGTTGAACAAGCACTTCCAATATATGTGTATGCATTTAAAACTAAATTATAGTCATATATTATTCTACAAATATATCTTAATAATATACATATCCATTTTAAAGGATTAAAAGAAAAAGTACAAATGAAAGTCTTTTCCACTCACATTCTAGAGGTTCCTCTTGCATAAACCCTGGCATCCATCCAGTGTTCTCTGACAACCATGAACAACAGATGTGAGCAAACTATGGCCTGCAAGTAAAATCCGATCTACCCCGTGTTTATATAAATAAAGTTTTATTGAACAACGGACATGCTTGTTTGTTTATGCATTGTGTATGGATGCTTTCACACTGCAACAGTAAATAATTATGGGACCACATGTCCCACAAAGCCCTGACCTATCGTCTAGATAGAAGTTCTGTCTTCTATTCTGTCAGCTCTAATATTCCATTGGCAAATATCGATAGTTCTAGCCTTAGAGTATTCCTTCTTTCTTTCAGAGTACTCCTTCTTGCTTTCAGAGTACATATTTGTCACACAACCACAACTTTGTGCTTTTTTTTTCCCCTTTGGAATGCTTTCATGAAGGTCTTTCATTTAGTTCTTCATAATATTTCTTATTTTGAAGGAAATGTCCCTTCCCTGTGCCTTTTGTGGGGCTATCAATTGTGGGCAACAAACTTTGTCTGTCTGGTTGATTATAAAACATAAACTAGGAAAATGTAACTGTCTCAGGGATTTGAACCTCAAGTAGAAACTCAGGGAGAAAATGCAATTAGAGTAGTTATTCAATAGTGGTGACCTAAATGAACGGTTCACAAAATCCCACTATTGCAATCCCTGGAAATGAAATGTCTTTATTTACATATTTCACATGGTCTGGTAATTTAGCTCTTCCTTTGATTTTGTAAAATATGTACTATCGTTCTAATATATTTATGTTTTACTTAGGCTAGCCCTTTTCTAATATTATTTATAAATGGAACCAAGTCTATTAGGATCCAATTTGTCCATTAGAATTTACCCAAGTTCTTGCAAGAAAGTTATTAATAGCCAATACAAACATTTAGTATATATAGCTTGCCATATAATTAATGTGATAAAATTTTGAACCAATTACAAGTTACAAGAGACTCTAAAGAATTCTGTTTTCTGTAGTTGCTTAATTTTACTACATTTGGAAAAGGTGTGGATATGGTCAGTAATATAGTTGTAAAACCCATTTACTTACTGTACATAAGATATTGGATTGAGAGAATCACTGCTACTGAGTAACCAGAAGAAAAGCTAGTACAAATTATTTAAAGACAACCTAGCAAATGATGGTTTTCCTATAACCTTTAAGTAGCTTATTCTTAAAATAGCATAGACTAGATTTAACATACACTAGAAATCTTTAATTTACTAGAAATAATATAGACTAGAGGTCTGCAAACTTTTTCTTCAAAGGGCCAGATAGTAAACATTTTTATCTTTGCAAGCCATACACTATCTAACTACTCAGGTCTGTTGTAATACCAAAGTAGTCATAGAAAATATATAAACGGACAAGCACGGCTGTGTTCCAGTGAAACTTGATTTACAAAAACAGACAATGTTCTATAGTTAGGTAACCCCTTTTATAGACCAGAGTTTGAACACCCCTACAGGCTTCTTTAGCTGAGGTGTCAATTGTTTGCATTATTTTAATGTAATTTTAGTTCATTTGTGTATGAACTACTGTTCATACACAAATACGAATGTCATAGTTAACTGAACAAACATTTTTGAGGCCCCATTCTGCATCAAATAATGTGCCCAAGCTCAGACCATGCTTTAAACCATTGTAGAGGAAAAAGCCTGTGTCCCAAAGCTTCATTAAATTTAAGTGATTCCTCAGATAACACACTAGAGAAATGTCTATTAGGACTCCAAATGTACATAAAGATGACCTGATGGCAACAGGAAGCTGTGTTCTGGTTTTTTTTTTCTGAAAGTTTGGATGTATGCATCCCAGGATCTATATTAGCCACTCTAAAAACTAACCCCAAGGCCTTCTTTTGCTTTACTCTATTAGAAGTTTACTTTGCTTGTGTTGTGGTTTGTTTGTTGGTTTTTATATCTTAACAGAAATATGGAGATAGATTCATATATAAACTTAATAAAATTTTTGTATGATTTTCTCTTGAAATGCACTATTATGATACTTTTCAAACTTGACAGTCCTTATTGAGGCAAGAGCTAGAAGCAAAAACACTAGTTACAACTGAGCCTTGAAATTTTATTAAGCCTTCAGATTTGCTTGTATGCTTTGAGAAGCCGTCTATCAGGGTTGCTTTTACACTCTAATCTTGCCATTCAAATCATGAATGTAAACAGACGCAGAGAAAGCTATATTAAGGGCCAAGTTGGGGGAAGGAGTAATTGCTTTCAACGCCATTTTAGAAGAATTTCTTATCAATGATAATTGTAAACAAGAAGGTTTCAGCCTTTAAATAATCAAACACAGAAGTGTCTTCTTTGGATGTATAAATAGTATTGTCTCATTTTAAAGATAATCTTATAGCTGTAATAAGGTTTTGATATATTTGATAACATATTTTTGATACTTTCCATTATCATCATTTTCTGTCTGACAAAACAGTTCCCATCTTGTTTACTCCAGTTTTGTACCTCATTGATTTGTTGTCCTTGGGCAGTGTTTATGTGTGTAAATTGCAAATTCTCAGTTCATTATATTGTTTTGTTGGGCTTATACCCTTACTTTTTTTTTAAGAGTAATCTTTGTTTCTAGCAGCTTGTGAGAGTAGTCAGACACATGAGCCGCTGGGTTGAAGCCTGTCATCTAAATGTGTATCTGTCTTCTTCATTGGGCATAGAGATCAGGGTCATTGCTAAAAGAAAAAAATGATATGTCTTCTCTAGTGAAGAATGCTATTAATTTCCCTCCAGGATTTACTGTCAGGTGTAAATAAGAACAAGATCAACTCAACAGAAATGGAAAATTCACAGTGATGATTCTCCTTCATTTTATAAATAACCAATGTATGCTTTGGTGTTACATGGTGGTTTTCTTTTCGTTACCTATCTATCAGATATTTACAAAATACTTTTATGTAAAAGCAGTCAACATTAAAATAAAATATTAAAATTGTACTGTATTTGTAACATTCACAAATCAATCTTTAAAAAATTTAATATATTGTTAACATTTACAAATAAGCTCAGAAAAAAAAGTCCTATAAGCCAAAAAGCCACTATATTGAATCTGAAAATAAATTACACAATTACAGTTCATTGCTCTAAAAACTAAAACAAATGCTAAATTTAATTAAAATAACATATGCAGTCACATTTTCAGTGTCATTTCTTACAGGAACATAAAATTTAGTTATCATTGATACCACATGAGTCAGTAATTAGAAATTGTTTAAGGAAAACCCCCAGAATGGTTGTAACCATGCTCATATAATACTGCAAACAGCCTTCTAATTGCATAGCTCACAATCAGGTTAATTGTGGTACAGGCATTGGCTTAGCTGTTCTACTGTGAAGTTGATACCTATGGTAAACATTGCATGGTTCAAGATTAAGTGTTACTTAATACCATAGATTGAAAATGGCTCATTATAGGTTAATTAAATGTTTCTTTGGAATATTAAGCTTCTTTGTCATCAGGAAGAATTTTCTTTTTTATAATCTTAATATAATAATAATAATAATAATTTATTTTTCGAGACTGAGTCTTGCTCTGTTGCCCAGGCTGGAGTGCAGTGGCGCAATCTCGGCTCACTGCAAGCTCTGCCTCCCAGGTTCACGCCATTCTCCTGCCTCAGCCTCCCAAGTAGCTTGGACTACAGGCGCCCACCACCACGCCCGGCTAATTTTTTGTATTTTAGTAGAGACAGGTTTTCACCATGTTAGCCAGGATGGTCTTGATCTCCTGACCTCGTGATTCACCTGCCTTGGCCTCCCAAAGTGCTGGGATTACAGGCTTGAGCCACCATTCCCAGCCCTTGATTTTGTTTTAATCCAAAAACATTGGTAGTCAGGAGGCTGAGCAAGATGACAGCCTGCCACCCCCTTCACATGCTCTGCAAGGACACCAAGTTAACAACTATCTACACAGAAAACACAACTTCATTAGAACGAAAAATTAGGTGAGCAGTCATAGTATCTGGTTTTAACTTCAGGTCACTGAAAGAGGCACAGAATAGAGAGAAAAAAACAATTCTGAATTACTGATGCTACCACACACCCCCAGTCCCCATCCCACCACTGGCAGCAGTGTTGTGGTACAAAGAACATCTCTGGGTGCTGGGGGAAGGAAAACACAGCAATTGTGAGGCACCGAACTCAGTGCTGTTCTGTCAGAGCAGAAAGAAAAACCAGACCAAGCCCAGCTGATGCTCTCCCATGAAGGGAGCATTTAAATCAGCCCTAGCCAGAGAGGAATCATCAATCCAAGCGGTCTAAACCTGAGTGCCTGTAAACCTCACCACTGATGGCTACAGCACTCTGTTTCTCAAAGTAAACTGGAAAGGTGGTCTAGACCGTAAGGACTGCAACTATTAAGCAAGTCCTAGTGCTGAATTTGGCCCAGAGATAGTGGACCAAGGGTGGTGTTGGGGGCACGTGACATCCTGAGACACAAGCTGGAGCAGCCTAGGGAGTGCTGGCATCACCCGTACCCTAATTCCAGGCTGCACAGCTTGTGGCTCGAAAAAAGACTCCTTCCTTTTGCTCCAGGAGAAGAGAGGAAAGAATGGGGAAGACTTTGTCTTGAATCTAGGATACCAGCTCAGTCACAACAGGATAGGGTATTGCTCAGCATCCGGAGGCCCCATTTGAGGCTCTATCTCCCAGATGAGATTTCTAGACACACCTTGGTCCAGAAGGGAAACTACTACCTTGAAGGAAAGAATCTAGTCCTGACAGTATTCAACACCTGCTAACCGACGAGCCCTTGGGCCCTGAATAACCAGCAGTGACACCCAGGTACTACATTGAGGGCCTTAGGTGAGCATCTGAAACTTTCTGTCTTCAGATAAGACTCAGCACATTACCAGCTGTAGTGGCTATGGGACAAAACTCCTTCTTGAGAAAAGCAGAGGGAAAAGTAAAGGGCTATTTTCTTGCACTTTAGATACCAGCACAGCCACGTGAAGATAGAGCACCAAGTGGGCTCTTGACATCCCCAATTTTAGAACTGACGCTTAGACAGCATTTCTGGACTTGCCCTGTGCCAGAGAGGAGACCATGCCCTGAAGGGTAATCCCAAGCCAGACAGTATTCGTCACAGCTGAGTTAAGAGACGTTGGGCCTTAAGGAAATATTGGTAGTATTCTAGTAGCACTGCTCATGTCCTGGGATAGCAGTGGCTATGGGGTGAGGTTCCTCTGCTTTTGGAAAGGGGAGGGAAGAGTGGGAAGAATGGCATTGTGTGCTTTGGGTTTCAGCTCAGCTACAGTACAGTAGAAAACAAGGTAGACTTCTAAGATTTTTGACTCTAGTTGCTGACTCCCAGATGGCATTTCTGGGCACACCCGGGGCCAGGGAGACTTCACCACCCTAAAGTGAAGAACACAGACCTGGCTGGCTTTGCCACTTGCTGACTGTAGATCCCCAGGGTCTTCAGCAAACATAGGTTTGCTGAAGGGAATGGTTACAGGGAATGGCTACCGCAGACCTTGTGAGAGACCCAGCTCTGTGATGGCTTCAGGTCTGACCTAGCACAGTCATAGCGGTGATGGCCAGAGAGGTGTTTGTGTCACTCCACCTCCAGGTTTAAGTGGCTCAGAACAGAGAGAGATACTCTGTATGCTGGGTGAAAGTAAGGGGAGGGAACAAGAGTCTCTGGTAATCCAGAGAATTCTCCCGGATCTTGTCCAAGACCATCAAGATGGCACCTCTATGCGTCTGCAAGAACCACAGCATTACTGGGTATGGGATGTCCCTAAAGAAGGTACAGCTTAGATCACAACACCTAAATTCTGTTAAACATCTGGAGAGTTTTCCCAAGAAGGACAGTGACAAATAAGTCCAGACAGTGAAGGCTAAAATAAATACCTGAATCTTTAATTCCCAAACACAGATGAACATCTGCAATTATCAAGACAATCCAAGAAAACATGACCTAACCAAAAAATCTAAATATGGCACCATGGACCAATCCCAGAGAAACAGAGATATGTGATCTTTCAGACAGATAATTCAAAATAGCTGGGTTTAGGAAACTCAAAGAAATTCAAGATAACACCAAGAAGGAACTCAGAATTCTATCAGATAAATTTAACAAAGATATTGAAATAATTAAAAAGCATCCAGCAGAAATTCTGGAGCTGAACAATATAAGTGGCATACTGAAGAATGCATCAGAGTTCTTTAATAGCAGAATGGGTCAAGCAGAAAAAAAGAATTAATGAGCTTGAAGACAGGCTGTTTGGAAAGACACAGTCAGAGAAGACAAAAGAAAAAACAATAAAAAATGAGGCACGCCTACAGGATCTAAGAAACAGCCTGAAAATGGCAAAACTAAGAGTTATTGGCCTTAAAGAGGAGACAAAGATATAGGGGTAGAAAGTTTTTGTTTTTTTGTTTTTTTTTTTTTTTTTTTTGAGACAGAGTCTCGTTCTGTGGCCCAGGTGGGAGTGCAGTGGCACAATCTCGGGGGTAGAAAGTTTATTCAAAGGGATAATAACAGAGAACTTCACAAACCTAGAGAAAGATATAAAAATACAAGAAGGTTATAGAACATGAAGCATATGTAACCCAAAGAAGACTACCTCAAGGCAATTAAAAATCAAACTCCCAATGTAACTGATAAAGAAATGA